>NT_187617.1:0-167999 GCF_000001405.40 Homo sapiens
CAGGGCTCAAGCAATCCTCCCACCTCTGCTTCCTGAAGTGCTAGGATTATAGGCATGAGCCACTGTACATGGCCAGAATTTTATTTTTCCATGATAAAAATTATAGCAACATTATAAAACTTCTAGGCATGTGAGGAAAATATCACACCTAATCTCACCACTCTACCTCATAATCAGCATTTGGTGTTCTTATTTCTGCCTTTTGTCTTACACATTTTTAACCTTGCCATAACCAAGATCCACTGGAGTTTTGTGTTCTGCTTTTTTTCTAAATATCTAAGCATTTTCCTCTCACATGATTACATAACCCCCTTAACCATTTCTTTAAATGGCAACATTATTGTGATGGTCAGTTGTATTTGTCAATTTGGCTGAACTGTGGTGTTCAGTTGCTTGGTCAAATACTGATCTAGATGTGAAAGTTTTAAAATACGTTATTAAAATTCGCCGTCAGTTGACTTTAAGTAAAGCAAATTACCCTCTGCAATGTGGATTACTCTTATTCAATCAGTTGAATCCTTTAAGAGTAAAGACAGATTTACTGACGAAGAGGGAATTCTGCCTCAAGACTACACCACAGAAATCTAGTCCAACTGTTCAGCCCACTGGCCTGCCCTGTGGATTTTGTTTTAGTTTCCAGTCCCCAGAGTTGCACGGTCCAATTCCCTAGAATAGGTTTCTCTCCCTCTCTCTCATGTTTGTGTATGTGTGTGTGTTTATATTTGTGTATGTGTATATGTTTATATTTGTGTATGTGTGCGTGTTTATATTTGCGTATGTGTGTTTATATTTGTGTGTGTTTACATTTGCGTGTGTGTTTATATTTGCATATGTGTTTATATTTGCGTGTGTTTATATTTGTGTGTGTGTTTATATTTGCATATGTATGTGTTTATATTTGCGTGTTATATTTGCATGTGTATGTTTATATTTGTGTATGTGTATGAGTTTATATTTGCATGTGTTTATATTTGTGTATGTGTTTATATTTGCATATTTGTGTGTATGTTTACATTTGCGTATGTGTTTATATTTGTGTGTATGTGTTTATATTTGCGTGTGTGTTTATATTTGCATATGTGTGTTTAGATTTGCATATGTGTTTACATTTGCATGTGTTTTATATTTGCGTATGTGTGTTTATACTTGAGTGTTTATATTTGAGTGTTTATATTTGCATATGTGTATGTGTTTACATTTGCGTATGTGTATGTGCTTATATTTGCATGTGTTTATAGTTGCGTGTATGTTTATATTTGCCTGTGTGTGTGTTTATATTTGTGTGTCTATGTGTTTACGTTTGCATATGTGTATGTGTTTACATTTGCGTGTGTTCATATTTGCGTATGTGTGTACATGTTTATATTTGTGTATGTGTATGAGTTTATATTTGCGTGTTTATATTTGCATGTGTGTTTATATTTGTGTATGTGTTTACATTTGCATATGTGTATGTGTTTACATTTGCATGTGTGTTTCTATTTGCGTGTGTGTGTTTACATTTGAGTATGTGTATGTGTTTATATTTGGGTGTGTGTGTTTATATTTGCATATGTGTGTGTTTATATTTGCGTGTGTGTTTACATTTGCATATGTGTGTGTTTATATTTGCATATATCCTGCTGGTTCTATTTGTGTGGAGAACTCGGACTGATACAATTATATTCTATTGAGTTCTTAAATTTATTTAATTGCTTTGCTATTGTTGGATATTTTAGCTTTTTCCAAATTATGCTACTAAAACAATACATCAGTAAATATATGTACACACTTGTTCATATTTGGATTACTCCATATTAGATTCTTAGGCATTGAATTACCACACTAACAGTGTGCCCACATTGTTGGCATACATACTTTCTTCTGCCAACACCAACAATGTAATCTTCAACTCATTGGTTATCATATTTTTAAAAATGTGAGCCAGTTCCATAAATAAATCCAAACCCCTCATCATGGGTTACACCTTCAATGCTTACTCCATGCCAGACTTTGTCTAGCTACAGGGAGCTTGCAAAAAATAAAAAAAAAAAAACATAAAATTCAAAAGAAAGAAAATGAAAATAGAGCACTCCAGGCAAGGGAACAGCAAGTGCAGGAGGAAGGTCTTTAAGTAAAAACAATGAATCCCCAGCAGTCTGCACCAGGATGCAATCCATGCACTGCTTCCAGAGAGACTTACAAAAACAATTAGTAATTTAATGTGTCTGAAAATTTTTGTGCAAATATATGTTATCTTCATCAAAACTACGTACAGTACACTTAGGAAAAAAGTTTAGTTGCAAGCAACTTCACATTCAAAAATTTGTACATGTATGAATACACAACATGTCCCAATTCACGGTGGTTGCACTTCTGGTCTGACTCCTTCCAGCCTCCGAGGAAGCTTGGAGGACATGATGCAATTATGTTTTCATTCCTTGGCCACTGCTCTGGTCCAGAAGTCGTCTTCTGGAAACAAGTGTTCTTGGTTCCAATTTACCCATATCTTCCTTCCTAAAGTAAATCCCTACAACAACCCATGCTGATTTGTGTGTGTGGTGGGGGGCGGGGTGGGGGTGTACAAAAATACAAATGTAAAAGTAGACAGGGAGATGCCATTATTTATTTATTTATTTATTTGTTTTGAGATGGTCTTGCTCCGTTGCCCAGGCCGGAGTGCAGTGGTGCAATCTCGGTTCACTGCAACCTCCCCCTCCCAGGTTCAAGCAATTCTCCAGCTTCAGTCTCCCAAGTAGCTGGGACTACAGGTGCCTGCCACCACGCCCGGCTAATTTTTTTATTTTTTTATTTTTATTTTAGTAGATACAGGGTTTCGCCATGTTGGCCAGCCTGGTCTCGAACTCTTGACCTGAGGTGATCCACCCGCCTGGGCCTCCCAAAGTGCTGGGATTACAGGCGTGAGCCACTGCGCCTGGCCAATGCCTTTATTAATCACGGATATAAAAGGAATTTGGGTGGCTCAGCGTCTTGAAAGGAGAAAGGAAAGAGTCTCCACTTCTGACCATATTATGAAAAGGTAAAATGCCTTGTTTTTGCTGTGAACATGCTGTGACACAGGTGTGCGACTGAAGCTGACACGGCGGGGGGCCGCGTGAAGGGTCACAAGTCGTGTGCACGCCTGCCTTCCTGTTCCTTTGAGGTGAGGGTCCCGGGTCGTGTGCACGCCTGCCTTCTTGTTCCTTTGGGTCTTTACTGGAGCTCATTTCTGGGCTTGTTCTAAGAGTCATTTCCGGAGAAGTCACTTGGGGAAAGGAGGAGGAACAAGAGAAAGTGGGACGTAGCGAGGGACCACCGCAGAGACGGATGGGGCTTAGCCGCAGCAGGTTCTGGAGGGACCGTGGCTACATCAGAGGAGCTCCGAGGGGACTAACTCAGCGTGCCCTGTGCGTTTGTGTGAGATCCGTCAGCCTCGCATCCGCGTGCCCCACCGCCTGGACTATCCTTGCTTCCAAGAGTGCCCCGTCCCTTTCTCATCTACAGAAGCTTAAACTGTCGTCACATGTGGCCTCTGAATTCTTTCTTCTTCTAAGCCAGGGCTTTGCAACTTTTTTTAAACTGAGACCCACAATAAGAGGCACATTGTACATCACAACCAGCACGTACACGCAGAAGTGAAATAAGAGTTTGTGAAACAGCACTCCCTCTGATGAGTGATTCCCTGATAGAAATCACGACTTCCATTATGGTCATAGAAATAGGTGCTTCCATGCTGCTCTGCTCCTTTTTGAAAATGCTCGTTAGGACTCATTAAATTGATTTCACAACCAGCTGTTTCACAAACAGGTCTAAGTCGTTGCAGCCTGGAAGCTGCTTCTCTGAGGAGGCTGCGGCAGCACTGACCCGAGGGCCCGTCCTCATTTCCGCCTCTTCCCGGCCTCTCTCGCACGGGTCGTGAAACCCACTGTGTCCCCATCACCCCAT
This sequence comes from Homo sapiens, assembly GCF_000001405.40. Taxonomy (NCBI): domain Eukaryota; kingdom Metazoa; phylum Chordata; class Mammalia; order Primates; family Hominidae; genus Homo; species Homo sapiens. The sequence continues at coordinate 3,925 of NT_187617.1, forward strand.
CCCAGAGGACTCTCTTCTTCTGTCCCCACCCCACAATCCTCCTGCTGTACCTTTCCCCAGGCCCCACCGAACTGCACGGTGTCAGTGACTCGCCTCGGTGCCCGGGCACCCACCCCTGGCCGGCGCCAAGCCCGGCCTCATCCTCGTCCCTCTGGCCTCAGGCTGTGGGATCTGCCCTCATTCTGTAAAGGCTTTTGTGTCCCTGAAACGCTTCCTTTGTTGTGACGAGACTAAGGTGTGAGACAGGATTACAACACACCAAAATGCAGCCACGTCTTAGGCCTGGAGTTGTGGGTGACTGGTAGCATATTCTTTATATATTTGCATTGCATTTTCCAACTTGTCTCCAATGGATCACGTTACTTTTAGGACCAGAAAGAAAACTGACATTAGGATGAGAAGAAGTGGAAAGGCATTGCTGGTCCGTCTGTCTGGGTCTCGCTGGTGCCGCCCCTGGTCAGGGGGTGCTGGCTGCAGGTGGTCTGTCCCGGAGCCTGTGGCCCATTTTCAGTGAGGAGCAGGAAAGCCCAAAGCTGTTGCTGGCGGCTGGTGGTGCTGCTGCGGGGGGCTCCACGCGGCGGGGCCATTGCTGCCCCTCAAGGGCACCGTGGGGGCCCCCAGTCTGCGGGGCTGGCGAGTGGCTTCCTGGCACAGATGTTTTTTATATGTTTGTTCCAGCTATGTCTGGCTAAGCCGCCTCTTTCTAAATGCAGGGCCTGTGCACACATTTGCTCCGGGGATTTTTTTCTACTTTGAAAGGCAGCTCTCGGCAGGGCTGGCTGTGTTTCCTTTGCGATGTGAGCTGCTCGGTGTCGGATGTCACGGATCTGGGGTGTTGGGGACGTGGAGGAGGGAGGCGCAGGCCTCTGCTCGCCAAGGCGGATCCCAGCCCGTCTGCAGCCTCACCTCCTGTTTCAGTGGCCATGCTGATGATGTCACCCACATACCGAAGTGAACATGCTATTTCCTGACCTAAAGTCAGCCAAGGGGAGCGGGCAAGTCTGTGTGAATCTTCCTTTCCCCCTGAGATGGCGAAGTCAACACAGAAGACGTGGTTTCCCTGAGCTCCGGCTTCTGGGCTCTGAGTTTCCCCCCAGCTCCCTCCACTTCTCCGCTGTCCGTCTCCTCCATTTGTCTAAGGGAAGAGACAGGGAAGAAGAAGTGTGGCCTGGGTGGATTCTGGCCCTAAAGTGAAGCATAAAAGAATAAAGAGAAAGAACAGGACATCTCCACGAGCTCAGGGCAGGCAAAGCTTGCTCAGGGCAGTCAAATAGGACACAGAAAATCCAAGCCATACAGGAAAAGGTTAATCTCATTTGACTTCGTTAAAATGATAAACTTTTGTTCATCGAAAGACATCATTCCAAAAAGAAGAGGCAAGTCAGACTCAGAGATTGGTGGTCCATGCAGCCAACAAATAACCAGAATATATATAAAGAACACTTACATATCCATAAGAAACATGCTAACAGCTCTATTTTTTTAATGGGCAGAATACTGGCACAGGAGTTTCACAGATGAGGATATCCAAATGGTCAGTCCACATTGGAAAGGTGCTCAGTGTCACCATTCATCAGGAGGACAACCACGAGATGCCATCATCCCCCCACAGAAGGCTTGAAGCCCAGAGGACTGACGGGGCCAGTGTCAGAGGGGGTGCAGGGCAAACAGCCCATTGTGGACAGAAGCCTCAGTGGACGCAGCCACCTTGGAAGCGCTGGTTATTGGTGATTCTTTCTCTGCAGGTGGTCCGACCTGTGTGCCCTCACTGGCTCACCACTCTTCCCGTGAGCTTAGGGCAAGCAAAGATTTCTTACACAGGTCCCAGAACATTCTTGCATTCCATGCATCTTGGAAAGCAACCCTGTCCACGGCTTTGTTTTCTGCTCCACCTGCGTGGCTGTTACCTGTGGCACCTAAACATTGCTCAAGGACCTGGCAGCAGCTGCAGCCATGCTCCTGCCAGGCTCCTGATAAGATTGGAAATCACGTGCAACGCTGAGCGCCATCAGCTGAGATTTGGACCTTAAAGCTGCTCCTTATGCTAACATTTTTTTTCTCAGCATGGAACTGCGAAGTGTCCTAAATGTGGAAAATCGAATTGGGTGTCAGAAAAAAACCAATAAGTGCCTCTTCAATAATTAACAGATGGAGATCCAGACCAACAGCAAAGTTAATCAATGCAAAAAGGTGGTGCAGGACAGACAAACAGAAACTCAGGAGCTCCTTTTAGAAACCAGAGGCTCCTGGCGGGAGCACTCACGACCTCCTCAGGTCACTAAGCTGGGGTATGCGCCACACTACCTGGCCACGGTCTCTTCCTCAGATTTGCCATAAACCTCACCTGGCGTCCTCAAGTACACTTTGACCACATGGGCATCAGAACATCAAGTGGGAAACACGCATGAATTTTCCACCCCAGGATCCTGGAAAAAGAAGCACTTGTTCCTACAGAACCTGCTTATTCTGATCTTTGGGTAACTAGATAATTCTTTCTAAATCCTGCTGAGGGTGAAGAATATTGTGTTCCATGTTTTAAAAACACATTGGAAGAACACCGTTCTTTCTGAAGCCAGAAGGGAAATACATCAACAGCTGAGGTGAGGTTTCGCTACGGTGCTCAGCAGATTTAGATAACATGGTGTCTGAGTCCAGTAGTACATGCTCTCACCTTCACTGTCTCAGTACAACAGGACACGCTCTCACCTTCACCATCTGGGTACAGCAAGACACGCCCTCACCTTTACCGTCTCAGTACAGCAGGACACACTCTCACCTTCACCGTCTCAGCGCAGCGGGACACGCCATCACCTTCACCGTCTGAGTGCAGCAGGACACGCCCTCACCTTCACCGTCTCAGTACAGCAGGACACACTCTCACCTTCACTGTCTCAGTATAGCGGTCCACGCCCTCACCTTCACCGTCTCAGTACAGCCAAACACGCCCTCACCTTCACCGTCTCAGTACAGCAGAACATGCCCTCACCTTCACCGTCTCAGCACAGCAGGACATGCCCTCACCTTCACCGTCTCAGTACAGCAGGACATACCCTCACCTTCACCGTCTCAGTACAGTGTGACAGTGCTCTCACCTTCACCATCTGAGTACAGTGGGACAGCACTCTCACCTTTATAGTCCCGGTGAGTGATCTATGGAACTGGTGCTTTTTTTTTATTTTTATTTTTTTGTGGAGTGTCTGAAAAATCTCTCCAGTGGTGGTGACTGGGGTGAGTTATCAAGATGAAGCAAATTGGACTGAACTATATGAGAAAAAGCCAGGCCTGCAGAAGATAGGCTGATGGAAGCCCACAGAAATGAGTGAAACTGAAGGCGGGGCCGAGGTTGCCCCAGACCTTCGCTACACACACCCCTCAGAGCTGTTTCTCAAAGATGTTTACACTAGCAAGAGGCTCAGCGTTCATCGTTTATAACAGCTTCTGGGAGCCACAGTTGAGTTTACCGTCTCGCCTTTCAGTACTTATGTATGCAGGGTGGCAACTCAAGCTATCATGGTCACAGAATTAAGAGGGACGAACGTGGATAGGTAGGGTTTCATTTTCCATATCCCTCCAGCAAGCAGGGTGGGTGAGGATGGGGACGCTTTCCTCTCCTGCTTGAGAGCCGACTTCTTAGAGGCCTTAGTAGACATCCACCAAACATCCAACCACCACAGAGGGCGACGGGAAGACCCCCTCATCCAGGGCAAGCAGCTGCGGAGCTCACACGGGGTCGGGGCGAGGGCATCCCGCTGGCATGCGCTTGTAGCCACGGCAGGGGCCCTGGAAGAGAGACAGGAATTAGTCATCCCACGGTTTGTCGTCTGGCGGTGTAGTTTGACACTTGAGAGATGTGATCTTTATTTCAGAAACACCATCTGGCCATCAGCCCAATTCTTGACTTTTTCATTTCTCTCAAGATGATCATTAGGAGTGGTTTCAACAAAACTGAACACAGAATTTTGAGGGCCCCAATCATGACTCAACCAGAGCCCTCCCTGAATTCTTCATGAGTCAGCCCGGCCCTCCCCACTGACTTCACCCTAGCGGGCACCTGTCTTTCTTCTTCTTTTATCACTTTTTGCTTCTCTTTTGGTTTCCAGCTCTGACTGAATTCAGACCCAACACCTTCCAATTCTTCCCGGCCCCCTCAGGGAAACCCAGAGGCAAATTTGAGTGCAGGGAGCGGGGGCTTCGCGTGGAGCTGGGACTGCCCCACGCTGAGAGGGACCTGAGACGCCGTCGCCTTCCCAGGCTGCTCCCCGCTGAGAGGGACCTGAGACGCCGGCGCCTTCCCAGGCTGCCTCGCGCTGAGAGGGACCTGAGACGCCGGTGCCTTCCCAGGGAGCTCTGGAGAGGGGCCTCAGGTTGGGGAGGAGGGGGTCTGCCATCCTCCCTCTCTACGGGGAGGGCTGCCTTGTGATGGGGGCTCAGGATCCACTACAGGGCCCCGACCCCGAGGCAGAAGTGGGGGTGGTGCTTCCTGCCACCCCTCACCAGGCAGGGATGCCAGGGATTCCGCAGCCGGAGTCGAACCTACGTTTACCTGAATGGAAGGAGAGAGGCATCTCTGGCCGAAGGAAGAGGGGAAGTGGCAACTCCCAGTGAAGAGGTCGTCCCCAAGCCACAGGGTGGCTGGTGGCCACTTCGGGAGGAGGCTCCGGGACCTGGGGAGGAAAGGCCAAGCGAGGCGGGTGTGCGTGCAGAGGACGCTCTGTTCAGATTCCTCCCCAAATAGTGATGGAGCTCCAGGAGCTGCCCTGTCAGGGATCTGTGGGGCATGTGTGTTTCCTTTACCACCTCCGGAAACTGCGCTACAATGGCAGTGAGTGGAGGGGATGACCCCGTGGGATGAAGAAAACAGCAAGCCACAGTGGTTCGGAGGAAAGGCCGGCAGTGGCACAAAGTGGGTCTGCAGGGGCGGGCGAGCTGCATCCCAAGCCCAGGAAAAGCCCGAGACACCAGGAGCTGGGCTGCCCTAGGAGGCTGCAGACAGAGGTGGGGCCACCAGTTCCAAAAGCAACTCCAAGACCTCAAGGCTGTCTTCCAACAAGCTCGGCCGTGGACGCACGTCCTCCCACCAGGCGGGAGCAGGGCACCCTTAGCCAGGGCTGCAGGGAGGGCGGACGGATGCCACGGGTGCTGGGCCCTGCTTCCCGCAACAGCAGCCCAGCTGCAGAAGGTCACCAAGATTTGATGACAGGGAGCACGTGAACTCTGGGCTCACTCCAGCCCTCCTGGCTGGCTGCCGAATGCTGGCCACATGACATTTTGCAGTTCAGAACCCAAGTTGAAGAGGGGTATGTGGGACCCCTCAACAGCAGCAGGGAAACCCGTGGGCCGTGGGCAATGCCTTGGTACATTCAGGAAAAGGATATCCTACCTAGAAGTGGAATCCAACCATATTATCAGTCAAGAGTAAAGAGAAAAAGACGTTTTCAGACCAGTACAGAGGCTGCTAGAGGAAGTGCTTCACCAAAACGAGGCATCAGCCCTGAAGGAGGACCTGGCGCCAGGACACAGGAGAGACACGGGGGGCTCTGGGGATGTGGGGAGGGGCTCCTGGGTGACAGTGCAGGAGAGCTGAGGTCTTCCAGGGGGGTCTGAACCACCATTCTCATTGTGTGGAGAGATTTCCATTTCTGACCGAGAGGTTGGGAGAGAATTGAGGATGGATATATGAGCAAAGCCATTTGAAAATCAAGGCAGTTATTAATTCCAGGCAAAATATAATTTTATAAGATGGGCCATGTAATCACAACACATTAGGCTACATTGGCTGCTGTGACCAAGGCCAAAATAACAGTGGTCTAAATAATCTAGAAGCTCACTCTCTCAGGAAGCTGTTGGCATGGAAGTGGATACAGCAGCTCTGCAGGGCCAGGCCTGGCTGTCCTGAGCATATGGCAGGCATCTGCTCACAATCTGCCCACCATCAAGCCCACACTTCCCTCAGGGGAGACCAGGGGAGTGGTGTCTTTCCCCTTCCCATGTCCTGCCAGGAAGCTGTATGCTTCATGTCCACTCATGGGCACTGACCAATGGCCAAAGCCCAGTCCCACAGCCCACTGCAGAGGAGGCTTGCGCACCTGCCCACAGGCCCAGCAACACTGGGATTTCTATAAAAGATGTCTCAAGGCAACTGGAGGACGTTGGGCCTTGGATGCTATTAAGGGATGACTGCTAGTTTAGCTGGGTATGATAGCAATATTGTGGTGATACCGGTAAAAGCCCTTACCCGTAAGAAATATAAACAAAAGTGTTGATGGATGAGATGACACGGTGCCTGAGGTCTGCTTCAGAATATCCCACATGTATTTAGGTATTACTCGTGTGATTAAGAAGTAAATTTTTTAAAAGATCAAAGAATTTCTCCTGCCACATCTAGAAGAGGAGGCTGGAAGGTGATGGGGGACCAGCCATCCCTGTCCATGGGCATACCCACAGCTGCTGTGAACACCCACAGATGAGCTGATGCCCACCCAGCGTGGGGTCCACCTCCACCTGGGCCCGATGCAGGAGGGGCCCAGGGAAGGAAGCAAACAGCCCTTGAGGTGGACATTTCCAACAGCCCCAAATGGTCACCCTCCCCAGCAGGACATTAGCAGAAAATACCTATAACTTAGAAATCATTGAAAAGCAGTGAAACACTTTTTTTTTAATTGAAGGTGAGAACCAAAAGGAAGTTTAAAGAATATTCCAAGTGAGCAGAGGGGGTGGCGGGATCACCCAAAAATGCTACTTTGTGGTTATGGTCATTATAAGCATAAAATATATCTAAAATACTTGAAAGTTATCACTTTAATAAAACAACAAAGAGATAGAAAAAGCCTTGCTGAAGCAAGGGAGGCTGATGTGCACAGGACGAACAGAAGTGAAGTGAGGAAGAACAAGGGAAACTTCGTGGCCCAGGCCCGCGTGCATGCCTAGCTGGGTTTACCACCCCCGCGAGGGCCTCATGCCACGCGTGGACACCGTCAGCCCAGTGGCCAGAGCCTGGCTGGGTTTACCACCCCTGCAAGGGCCTCATGCCACACATGGACACCGTCGGGCCAGCGGCCAGAGCCTGGCTGGGTTTACCACCCCCATGAGGGCCTTGTGCCACACATGGACACTGTTGGCCCAGAGGCCAGAGCTCCCCAAAGCCAGGGCTGCTGCCTGGAGAACAGTTACCCTTGGGGTGGGAGCGGTACCTCCCACGAGCTGCAATGGGACTGTGTGTGCCGCCGGCACCTGGCATTGCGCATTCTGCGTGTGTCCCAGGAGGACCCTGTGCGGTGACTGTTCCACACTTTCCACATTTGCTTCTCCTGCGAGTCGCAATGGGACTGCGTGTGCCGCTGGCCCCTGGCATTGCACATTGCGGGTTTGTGCCAGGAGGACCCTGTGTGGGGACTGTTCCACACTTTCCACATTTGCTTCTCTGGTAGCAGGTGAGCTCCGGGATTCCGTCAGCGCTACCTCCGCGGGTCCCCTGAAATATTCAAAGAGTATGAACAGGTTAAAAGTTTTAACCCCTGAATAGCTGGGATGTAAAAAATGAAATCTGGCAAGTGGTTAAACGAAATTACAGACCTAATTGCTTACACTTAAAATAATACTAAAGCAAATGTGAGATTGTGTTTAACTTGGAGGACCAGCACCGTCGGCAACGTGGTTCTGTTCTAATTTTTCACCAGGGAGGGCTCTACATTCCAGGCTGTTATGAAATGAAGTCCTCAGTGTCTGTGAAGTTCAAGTGTTTTAAATGGAGCAGAGGCCTCTCCAGGGATTGCCCACCCCATTTCCACCTCAGTCCTGTTGGGAAACCATCCCTGCTGCCATAAGCAGAGAGCAAGAGCTCCCACCTTCTGATGCAGCGGCTAGATACCAGGAGGGCCACGGAAGCTGGGACCCTGAGAGACTCCGAACCACAGATCCAACTGGGGGATGCCAGGCACTGACAGAACCACGGGGCCCTAAAAGGCGGAAACCGTGACTCCACAGGACTCCTCTCTTCTGCAACCTGCTCCAAGGCTGCCCCTGTGCAGAGCTCAACTATGCAGCTGTGGCCCTGACCCCTCTGCCAGGCTGCCCGCACCACTCCAGGGGACACGGTTTCCACTGTGGGCAGCTGGTGCAGTGTGACCGTGGTGCAGGTGGGGCCTCTGGGCAGAGGACATCTTGGTAAACTGGGCTGCAGCAGGGCCCAAAGGTCGGGATTGAGGGGAGGCCCTGCCAGGTGACCTCTGCAAGGACCTGGGGAACTGCACGCAAAATCGCAGAGAGAGAAGGATGTGGTTCTTAACCAGCTTCCACCCTGTCTTGCAGCCTCTGTGTTTACTTCCCAGTTGATCTTTAATTTCAGTTGCCAAAGCAGCTGTTTGCACCGTGCAGATGAGTCCCAGGGGCCTCAGACCCGCCCAGCCGCCCGCCCAAGGCGAGAATTGGGGCTGCGGCTGGGCTGGGCAGACGGGGTTGGGGGGCACAGCTCACAGGGCCCCCCACATTCCGCGCTGCCAAGTCTTCTTTTTCCAGTAGTCCCAAGCTAACTTGAAGAAAGAAAAATATGAGGGAGGGAAAGAGAGAAAGAGAGGTGAAAAAATATGGTCATAAATCTGGGACCTGTTTTTATTGGTGCTTCTATTTCAGATTTCCAGTTTGGAAAAATACTTTTTTATGCATCTCAGGCACCTTGGTGATGGTGGAGTGATGATGATAAATGCAAAAAGTTTTTAAAAGTCCTTTTTGTGCCCAGGAGAACAAAGTCTGGTACAGTGCGGCCACCTCAGGGCCTCTGTCATCCTTAGACTAAAGAGGGTTGGCTTGTCCAATTTAACTTTGCCCCATGCCTCCGTGCTAGTGTGACTGGGCCAGGATGCCCTCGGTGCCCTGAGACCCTGTCCATGCCTGGCTGCGCCTCCCAGGTTTGTCTTAGGGAGCAGAGGTTGGCCAGGCGCCCTGTGGGAGGCTCAGCAGGGAAAGCGCCTCTTGTTGGGGAATAGCTCGGGGGAAGCGCTTTCAGATGAACTGCAGGGAACAGGTGAAGAGTGTGGACACCGGAGCATGGGGCGGTGAGAAGACACAATACGAGGCCTGCCGTCCGAACGCGGACCCTGCAGCCCCTGCGGCGGGAAGCCGTGAACACAAGGCTGAGTTTGCGCCTCTGATTTGCGCCACGTGATGGGACTTGCCGGGGCCTCCCTGCCCGTGAAGAGGCTGTTTTTGCTTTGAGTCTGCGTGCACGGTGGGTCTGCTGCGCCTGCATAGGTGGGTTTAATTGGCTCCAGCTGCACTGGCGGCGCCTCTCCTCCACTAGGATGTGGCGCATGGAGTTATGGGTGGAGCCCTTTGAAGCAGCTGCAAGTCATTCTGTCGTATAAACTGAAATAAGAAGAGGGTGAAAAATCCAAGCCCGTGACTCTGCCCGCTCCACAGCTGTGCTCACACAGCTCCGCGAGACGGCCGCCCAAACAAAGCTACCTCCGTGGGCCTTGGCCGGCTGACAAGAGGAAGAGAAGGAGATTACTCTAAGCTCCAGGTATTCTGGTGAGCTGGAAGCTGGCCGGGAGGGCCAGGCGCCAGTGACACCTCCAGCCAGCAGGCCCATGTGGAGGCCCCATCCCGAGAGCGTGCCCGGGGCGAGGCGTGTCCGGCCACCACCGACCACCAGCCGCCCAGGAGGCAGAGGTGACCGGAGAGGGGGCTGCTCGGTTCAGGGAGGAGCCCAGCCCCCAACGCAGGGCACGGATGGAATCTCTCAAGGTTCCCTGGGCATCCTGCCCACCCAAGCTGACTGCTAAGGTCATCGATACGGAGCAGGAGCCCAGGCCTAGAGTGTCCAGGCCAAGTGACCACCATGAGTGCCTGAGAGGCCGGACGTGCAGGCTGGCTCCTGGCTTCTCACCTGAGCCTCCCCAGCCCCTTGCCTCCACGTCTGAGAATGCCCGGCGCCCCAGCATGGCCTTGGGGAGGCGGCGGTGCTGAGTGCATGGGGCCGAGAGGATGGCTCTGGGCCAGTCGGGTGCTGGGACAGTGGCTGGCAGGGGACCCATTTGGAGAAGAGCCCACTGCTCTGAGCAGCTCCAGCTGCAGCTCCCACCGCCCTCTTGTGAGGGCCTGCCTGGGCCCGTGTCCAAATCCCAGCACCACAGGCCACATGGCCGGCAGGTCTCACGGGGTGAGCACAGCAGAGGCCGCTTTTACACAGGGACCCCTGGGGCCCCCTCCAAGGGCTGCTGCCTGAGAGGGAGCGTGGCCCACGGAGACCCCCTGGACTTGGCCTCTGGGGCCCACCTGGTGGTTTCTGAGGGTGCTGCCAGGCCAGAAGCTCAAATCCTGCTGGCTGCGCTGTCCTGAGGCCACAGCCAACACCCACTCCTGCCTCCAGCCCGCTGTCCCTTCCCACTGTTAGCGGGGCCTGGGGGATGAAGGAAGACCACCACAGTGCGGTGGGAGAGAGAAAGCCCTCGGCTTCATCCTGGGTGTGTTGTGGAGATGCAGACGGGTCCGAGGTCAGACGAGGGTACTGGACTTGCCGAGGTGTCCACACTCAAAGGGAGCGTCTGGAGCGGGGGGCGGCGTGAGGAGTTCAGGGGCTTCCCGGGAGCAGTTCCAGCTGACAGAGCTCCATGGAAATCAGACATGACCTTGGGGACCGCCGACCTGTGGGGTGTGCACCAGAACCCCACACTGTGGGAGCCCAGCCTTCCTCTCACTGGGTGGCAGTGGCTGGGCTCACACAGACCACAGCAGTGTCCAGCTCCCCTGTCAAGGAGAGACTCCTCCTCAGGGTGGGCTGCGGGACCAGCGCCAGCGGTGATGGGGTCCATCCTCACCGTCTCCTGAAGGGCCCGGCCTGGCCTGAGACTTCGATCTCGGTGATGACAGCCACCAGCTGGATGAACTGGCCCCGCGTCCTTCCTACTCCTCATCTCCCTTCTCTTGCTGGGACTTCACGAGAGAGCCCGAGTTACTGAGTCAACAGGAAGTAGAAGAGACTCCCACGCAGCTCAGGCCCCCGTGGCAGGACCAGGAAGGAGGGAGAGGTGGCGCGTTGCCTGGGTGCTCATGGACACCAGGTCTGCTCCCCATGCACTTGTCGTCTGTGCCACGCTGCAGGGGCCAGGCAGCCACAGGCATCGTTTGGGCCCCGAGCTGGCCAGGCTGGAGTCAGGGCCCACTAAGCCGCAGGTGCCTCTTGCTTGGGGGTGGGGGCTGAAGGGTGTCTTCCTGCCGTGGAGCTATAGCTGGTGCCTGGTTCCCTCTGTCCAGACACAGCTCTGGGCTTGCAGCCTCTGCCTCCCTGATGGGACAGCAACCCTGGGCATCGCTAGAGGCTCTGAGGTCTGCACGGGGCACCATCCCGTATTCTGCAGGGTCCAGAGACACAGAGAGGGAGGCCAGCCCAGCACCATTGTGGGAGAAAGGCCAGTGATGTCATCAGGGGGCTAAGGCTGGCAGCCACCTTCTAGTGGACATTACTGCTGAGAACTGGCCAGGTGCCTGCACTCGCTGCCATGAGTAATTGCCCAGTGGCCCGTGAGGTGCTGGCAGCTCCTCCATTTACAAGTTAGGAGACAGGTACAGAGAGACCAGGTGGCCTGTTCCAGCAGCACTGCTCTGGCTCTTGACCACCACCACATCAGCAGCAAAACCGCCAGGGCTGAAATCAATACAGATTTATCCATTCTCACCAGGCTGCGGGCGCCTTGCAGGTCTGTGCTCCTAGCTGGGGGCCCAGAGAGACTCTGCTTCCAGGACTGCCCGAGTGTGGAAGGAACCCAGCTGCCAGCTGCAGGACTGAGGTCCCATCTCCTCCCTGGCCTCGCACAGGCCCTCCTGCCTGCCAAGCAGCAAGTGATGCCGCACCTCAGTCTCTCCCTCTGCTCTCCAGTTCCCTGGACCCCCAGCCCAAGCTCCGGTGATTACCAGGTAATTCCTGTCCCAAGACAGCCGCGCCGAGTGTCCTAACACAGTTGCCACACGGCTCCATGTCCTGTGCACAGGCCAGGGGTTCGAGTGGGCATCAGCAATGCTCACTTCAGAGCCCCTCCGCCACGACGTGGCCATGTGCACACAGCTCCGTGGCCAGCGCTGGAAACTGCGTCTCCTGCCTCCAGCTGCGTTACTTGGAGAAGCAGGAACCTCTCCATCCTCACTTTCCATCCGCACATCCAGGGCCGCCCACGTGCACCCACACCGTGCGCTCACTGTGTGGCCTGTCGAGAACACAGTGTCCTCTGCCCCTGATTTCCCAGGAGAGTCGCACGTCTGTGATGGTGGTCTCCCAGGCACGCATGGCCATGGAGCACGGGAACGTGTGCGCCTGCTGGGAGCACATGGGAAGACTGCACGCCGGGTGCTGAGGCTTCCTGTGAAAAAAAGAACCTGAAACAAGTACTAATTTTTTACATTGATTACAGATTTAAATGATAATTTTTTTATAGATTGGGTTCAACAAAATATTAAAACTAATGACACTTATTGGCCGGGCGCGGTGGCTCACGCCTGTAATCCCAGCACTTTGGGAGGCTGAGACGGGCGGATCATGAGGTCAGGAGTTTGAGACCATCCTGGCTAACAAGATGAAACCCTGTCTCTACTAAAAATACAAAAAACTAGGCGGGCATGGTGGCGGGTGCCTGTAGTCCCAGCTACTCGGGAGGCTGAGGCAGGAGAATGGCGTGAACCCGGGAGGCGGAGCTTGCAGTGAACCGGGATCGTGCCACTGCACTCCAGCCTGGGGACAGAGTGAGATTCTGTCTTTAAAAAAAAAAAAAAAAAAAAAAGACACCTATTTTTTATTCTTTTTTTAATGTGGACATTAGAAACCTTAAAATAGCATATGTGGTTCCCATTAGATTTCCATCAGACAGTGTGTGTCTAGAAAATGGCTATAAAGTGTTCTACCTCCTGCTGATTTTATTGGAATCGTGTCTGATCTGCAGGACTAAGCACGTGGGCCTGGGAACTGTCCACGCTGGGGCACGTAGCGTTGCTGAGGAGCAGGTTAGATGTTGGTTTTGTTTTGTTTCCGATTTTTGAAGATTTAATTTGGAAAGATTTTGAGGTCATGCATGGTCTACAAATGACTTTTCTGTCCCGATTCAGGATGGACGCCCACACACCTGAGTCCACCCACGCAGGCCTGTAACATGCATGTGTGTACATGAGCACGTGTGTACGTGAGCGCGTGTGGCGGTACCAGCACAGGGGTGAGCTGCGGCCTCACAGGCTTCTCACTGCTGCAGCTGGATGTGCCACTGTAGACGGTCGGGGCAGGGGCCTCCTGCCCTCAAGCTGTGTGTGGCAGCCACGGGTCCCCGTGCCTGCAGCCTGAGACAGGCGCCTGGAGTCGCTGCCTGGGGCAAGTGAGTTCTGCTGGAGGAAATGATGTAGATGCTGCAAGAAGGCAACAGCAGAGTCAGAAGTTGAGGAGAAGACAGAGGTAATAGGGAATTGCTCCTCAGCAACGACACATGAGAGTCGCGTGTGCCGTGATCCCAGGCAGCTGCAGCTGCGTGGATGCCACATGGGGAACCCGGCTTCCAGACCCGCCCTCAAGGGCCGAGCGTCTCACGCCCAGCTTCATTCCTCCCCATCTTGGGGGTGCTGCTCTTGTGCTGCCCAGGGTCCCCCAGTCGTGCAAAGCCTGTCTTTGTTTTGTTAGCCAAAGTCCCAGGACGGGGGCTCACCCGAACCATGTCACCCTGTGATGAGGACAGGAGGGATGGAGCCTTCCTCGATCTGAGCTCGGGCTGCAGCCCTGCGGCCTCTCCCGCTCCATATGCACGGCTGCGGTTCCCTCTGCTGGGCGGTCCCAGTGGATCCAGGAGCCGGGGGGGCCCTATGACCTGGCTGAACGGAGCCCTGGGTGTGAAGTGCTCTTATGCAGCCTCAACTGCTGCCCTCACCCCAGGGCCTCCTGGAGAGGACAGAGCCACCAGCAGACAGCTTCTCCCTCACAGCCCAGGCAGCATCTGTGCCCAGGGAGGCCTGCGCACCCCCGCAGGAGCCTCGGTCACCCCCATTTCTGAGTGCCCTGCCACAGGCAGCCCTCAGGAGCCCCCGTGTGTTGGCCACCACCGTGGAGGGCTTGGCGTGGACAGTAGGCCATGGTAGGGGCATCTGGGGTGCCCCGTGGGGGCCAATGGGGGGCCAGCCACCCCGCAGCATGGGCTGACTCCTCCCTCCCCCAACATGCTGCAGTTCCCACTTTGTTAAGCCCCTGGAATGCAACCAATTAAAGAGCTGTTTGTGTTAAATGAGATCCTGGTCTGAAAATGCAGATGCGTCTGGATTATTAAAAGGCCATCAGTCACCCACGCATTAGTCTAAGTTTGGTCTGCTTGACTTCTGCTGGTCTGACTTTTGGATGGGGGTCTAGGCAGGAGCTTCTGGGGCTCCAGCAACCCTGAGGGATGGACTAAGGGTCTGTCCCCCTCACCTGTTTGGTCCTGCCCCTCAAGGTCTTCCTGAGACCCAGGCTGGTGTGGACACAAGGAAGCCCCGCCGGAGGGCCCTCTTTACATGGGGAGGCCTGAACCCTGAGCAGTCAAGGAAGTTTTGGAAGTGAGTAGCTATGGCTTCTCCACCTGCTCCTGCCTGGACGGCGCCCTTCAGAACTCAAGCCCATCCATGAGACAGCACCCACCGGGGCCAGTGAGTCACTCCATGAAGGCCAAAGGTGAGCACGTAGGTATTTCTCTCCAAAGAGAGCAGCAGGTACAGACATGGGTGTTGACACACAGAGGGACACATGCACATATGTGCACACATGGCACGTACATGTGCACTGTGCACATGCACACATGGCATACATATGCACACATGCACAGTGCACACATGGCATATGCTTACATACACAATGCACATGCATGGCATACATACGCTCACATGCACAGTGCACACGGCATATACATATGTTCATGCACAGTGCATGCACATAGATAGCATACATATGCTCACGTGCACAGTGCACATGCACGGCATACATATGCTGACATGCACAGTGCCCACACACACACGGCATACATATACTCACATGCACAGTCCACATGCACACATGGTATATGCTCACATGCACAGTGCACACATGCACACATGGCATACACATGCTCACATGTGCCGTACACATGCATACATGGCAAACATGCTCACATACAGTGCACACATGACATGCTCACATGCACACTGCACACATGGCATACATATGCTCACAGGCAGTGCCCGCACACAGCGTACATATGCTCACATGTACAGTGCACACATGCACATGGCATACATATGTTCACATGCACAGTGCCCACACACGGCATACATATGCTAACTTGCATAGTGCTCACGTACATGGTATATATATGTTCACATGCATGCTGCACACAGTGTACATATGCTCATGTACAGTGCACACAGCACACATATGCTCACATGCATAGTGCACACACGCATACATGGCATACACATGCTAACATGCACAGTACACAGCATATATGTGCTCACATGCACGGTGTGCACGCACATGGCATATATATGCTCACATGCACACTGCACACGCACACACAGGATACATATGCTAACATGCACAGTGCACAGGCACGGCCTACATATACTCACATGTACAGTGCACACACATGGCATACATATGTTCACATGCACAGTGCACACATGCACACAGGATACATATGCTCACGTGCACAGGCATGGCATATATATGCTCACATGCACAGTGCACACAGCATACATATGCTCACATGCGCAGTGCACACAGCATACGTAAGCTCACATGCACAGTGCACACATGCACACACCGTACATATGCACACATGCACAGTGCATACACGCACACGGCATGCATATGCTCACATGCACAGTGCACACACACACGGTACACCTATGCTCACATGCACAGTGTACACATACAGCATGCATATGCTCACATGCACAGTGCACACTCATGGTATACATATACTCACATGCAACGTGTACACGCATATGGCATACATATGCTTACATGTGCACACATACCATTCACATGTATATGCACTCGATTCATGCACACGTGCCACCTACATTCCACCTACATGCCACCACATGCACACAGGTGCACATTCGCAGGCTCACACACTTCCTGATGCCTGTGTGGACACCACGCCAGTTCTCCTTCCCTGGGGCGCTCCTGTCTGTCTGTATTTTGGTTGTGCCTTGGGAGCTGAGAAGGCTCTAGCCTGTTTTCACTGGGATTCAGAGGCATTGTGGACCGCAGAACTGTGTCAGCCCCACCCATCTTCTCCACAAATGTTCTTTATTAAGAGAACCTTAATTGAGACCATTAAGCAGAAACTGCAGAGATTGTTGACTTAATAGTGGAAACAGCCCCAGTGCACATCGTTTTGAGGCCTGGGGCGAGTCATTAGGCTCCTGCCTCAGCTTCCCCTCTGTGGGCCGGTGGTGTGGCCTGTGTGGGCTCTCAGGGGATGAATGCTATGAACCACCGCGGGAGGGGCTGCTCTGTGCTATTTCAGCAGGTTTTTCATCACCTCGCAAGGGCCTGGAGTTGGGAGAGAAAGAGCAAAATGAAAAGGCACCTCTGATGACAGCCGCCACCCCTGAGCCCCGAGCCATTCTCTCTCGGAGCTGCAGGAGACATGGCCGCATATGCTGCAGAGGGGCTGCCTGTGTGCAGCCTGAGGACATGGAGGCTCTATGTGCAGCCAGACGGAGTGGCCCTGTGGCTCTCCACAGCCCTGACCTGTGCCCCTGCACAGAGCTCAGCGAGGACGCTACCTTCTAGAGCGGATACCTTCTAGAGCGGATACCCACAGATGCACCGTGGAGTCCCCTTGCAACCCCCAGGAACCATGTTTTTCTGCTTAACCCATTGTTTTAGGGTCCTGGGGCTGCCAGGTCAATGTTCCACAAACTGGGGGACTTAACAATTTATCCTCTCAGAACCCTGGAGGCCAAAGTCTGAAACCCTGGCACAGCAGGGCATGCTCCCCGGGTGCTCCTGGGCATAGGAAGGACATGCCCCCAGGGTGCTCCTGGGCGTGGGCAGGGCGTGCCCCCCCCCCCGGGTGCTCCTGGGCGTGGGCAGGGCGTGCCCCCCCCACCGTGCTCCTGGGCGTGGGCAGGGCATACGTGCTCCCCGGGTGCACCGGTGGCTCCTAGCCACCTGTCCCAGCATCTGCTGCTCTCAGCTTCCCTGGCTTGTGCCGTTGCTCCAACCTCGCCTGCCTCCCATGGCACCGTGTTGGTCTCTTTCCTCTTAGGAGGATGCCTGTTCCTGGACTTGGGCCCCGCCCAGCCCAGTGCTTGTCTTGACCACATCTGCAGGATCCTGTTTCCAAATGAGGTCCCACTCTCAGGTCTCAGGGGCTGGGACTTCCACATGCTTCTGGGGAAACAGTTGAACCCACAGCTCCCCCTCTGTGTTCCCATCTTTCCCTACTCTGGAGTTCACAACACTTTTCTGGTGCAGAGATGGCCCTCAGGCCCTGCCCCCAAAAGCCTCGTCTACACAGCACTCCCTGCCCCCAAAGGTCTCATCTACACAGCACTCCCTGCCCCTGAAGGCCTCGTCTACACAGCACTCCCTGCCCCTGAAGGCCTCGTCTACACAGCACTCCCTGGTGGTGTTCAACCCAGCTGCACCTTGAACCCTGGGAGCCCTGAAGGGACCGATGCCTTTGTGGTGGGTTCAGGTGGCCTGAGGGCTAGAGAGGCAGAGCTTGTGTAGACGGGAAACCCCAGCTGGGAGCAGGCAGCCTGGGCAGAAGGGGCCGGGAGCCAAGCTGCAGGCCTTGGGGAGGCTTGGGCCCACGTGAGCAGGACCCATGCTGCTTGCTCTTCTGCTGCTGCTCCTGCTGGCACTGGGTGTGCTGGGGGCTGGGCAGGTGCATCCGCTGCTCCAAAAAGCACTTGTTCCTCCTTTCCACTAAAGTGCCCCTGCGCGCCCCACATGATGTCACATGCCTCCACATGCTCCCCATGTCCCCCTGGCCCCTGCGTGCCCCATCCCTATGTGCTCCCATGTGGCACCTCCCAGATCACCTGGACACGAGTCTCGGGGTAACCAGCCCCCCTGCAGACCTGCAGAAGCTTGGACAGCAAGTGGGAGTCAGCAGTCAGGAAACTCGGGGGCTTTGCACCTGGAGGGAAGCCCACCTGATATGAAAATGCTTTCGAAGCTTGTGGATCGGAGAGGCCAGTGGTGTACCGGGTGGTCCAATCGATCAGTCAGGACGATCATCAGCCCCATTTCTCAGGTAAGAAAACCAGGCTCCAAAACTTTCAGTGACTTGCGCACAGGGGCAGGTGGGTCACCTGTCAGCAGCAGAACCAGTGCAACCCCAGCAGGTCTGGGGCTGGAGGCACCCCTGCACCCCACACCCCCTGCACCTCCCCACTGCACCCGAAACCCCCCATACCTTCCCCACAGCCCCCCACCCTGCACCCTGCACCATGCACCATGCACCCAGCACCCTCGCATCCTACACGCTTCTGCAACCCCCTGCCCCGCAAACCCTGTCCCCACACCCCCGCACACCTAGCAGCCCCCACCTGACACTCCATACCCCATGCTCCCACTGTGTCCCCGCACACTCCCACACCCCATGCTCCCACATACCCAGCATCCCGCACCCCACACTCCATACCCCCCACACCCACTGTGTCCCTGCACACTCCCACACCCCATGCTCCCACTGTGTCCCCACACACTCCCACACCCCACGCTCCCACATACCCAGCATCCCGCACCCAGCAGCCCCCACCCCACACTCCATACCCCCTGCACCCCCTGTGCTCCCGTACACTCCCACACACCCAGCATCCCCCACCCCCCCAGCCCACACTCCATACCTCCCACCCCCTCAGCCCACACTCCATACCCCCCACACCCGCTGTGCCCCTACACACTCCCACACCATGCACCCCATATCCTCATCCCCACTCCATGCACCCCATATCCTCATCCCCACTCCACGCACCCCATATCCTCATCCCCACTCCACACCACTGCACCCTGCACTCCCGCACGGTGGACACCCTGCACTCTGGTTGCTGTGCCAAGCCCCGGGGGTGCCTCCCTGCCTGTGTCCTCTGCTCTGAGCCTGGCTTCACAGCCCACCTCTCCCGGGGTGTCTGGAGGGGTTCGGGTTCCTGGTAGCAGCCCAGCTTGCCTGGCTCCAGCACTCCTCCAGGTCCTCCTACACCCCGCCCAGGCTCCGTGCAGGCCTAGCACGCCCCTCCCAGCCCCTGTGGTCAGAGAAGGGAACAGCTTTCAAAAGAGGAGCCCCTTGGAGTCCAAGATTCTTCAAAACTTCCAAAAGAAGTTCTATATTTTGGACAATATTAGTTTCTTTCAAATAACTCATTTCATGAAAAATACATGACAATTGTAGGATGGGAAAAGGCTTGTGGAGCCGTGGCACTGGGGGGGAAAAGGCATGTAGAGCCGTGGCACTGGAGTGGGGGAAGGCGTGTGGAGCCATGGCACTGGGTGGTGGGGGGAAGGCGTGCGGAGCCATGGCACTGGGTGGTGGGAAGGCGTGCGGAGCCATGGCACTGGGTGGTGGGGGGAAGGCGTGCGGAGCCGTAGCACTTTCCTTTAAAGGTGCAGTACAGCACGTCCACGTCCTCCCGACACCGTGAGTGCGGCCACACCGAAGCCAGGGGAGCAGGTGCGCTTCTCCATAGGTCCTGGTTTAAAGCAAGCGGAAACACCACAGGCTCGGGATTGAGGTGGTAAGGGACGTCCAGTCCTCAGGTGAGGTTAAGTCCTTCTACAGAGACAGCACTGGGGGGACCTCACAGTGCCCCCCGGGAAGCGCTGTTTGGGCAGGCTGCAGGAGCTGAGGCCAGAGTCCTGGCACGGGGCTACGGGGCCCTTGGTGTCTTTCACTGCTGTGACGGGGGCTCCCTGCTGCCCCGGCACCTGCGGGCCTTGGCCAGTCCCGAACACCAGGTTGTGGCAGTGGAGACCTGGGGGGTGGCCAGCGGCCCCCTATGGAGGTTCTGCCGTGCGTGTCAGGGCCCCAGGCAGGGCTGTGCAGCGCCAGCCTCACTATCAGTGTGGACACACATCTGTGGGAGGGGCTCTCGTTTTCCCCACCTTCCGGTGAGGGAACCAAGGCAGACTCAGCACCAAGCAGGGGTCAGGCCCTGGTGGAGGTGGATTTTCTTCACTGTGGCACAGTCCTGCTCAGTTTCTAGTCCTGATGGAGGTGGTGGAGGCCCTGGTGGAGGTGGATTTTCTTCACCGTGGCACAGTCCTGCTCAGTCCCTGGACTGCCCCCCTGCACCCAGCAGCACAGGCCGCAGAGCCCAGGAGATGTGGGCAGGAGCTTTCCCCTCGCCTGCCCCACTCCTGCCCACCCAGTGGGCACCCCGTAGATGGGAGCAGCTCTCCGTCTAGCACTTGGACTGCTGGGCTGAGTCATGGCTGCAGGCAACGGCTTAGTGGCATCTCCCAGGTGCCACTGCAGGGATAGCCTCTGTGTCTCCAGGCTCTGCTGTGGCCCCGCGGAGCCAAGCTTACCCATGCCGCTGAGTCGGGGGCTGCAGAGGCCTGTGCGGGCTGCGGTGGCTAGACCTGGGCCTGGCTGCTCAGATGCTGCTGGAACCCTGCTCTCAGCCTGGAGGCTGGCAGGTCTGCCAGGGGCCAACGGGCAGGCATCGCCCGTCTGAAGCTCTTTGCCTCTGAAGGAGCTTCAGCGCCAGCCAGGGGCAGTTTATGAGAAATTCAGAGAAACATGTAGGCTTCTCTGTGTCTTCTGAAGAACTGCCAATGCCTCACCCACCTCTGGCCAGAGGACTCTGGAAAACTTGCGTTTCTGGTATGTATAGAAAAGCGACATGCTAAGCCGCAAAGCCGCCCCCTTCAAGACGCAGCACACGCAAGGCTCACCCTGCCACGAGCACTGGTACCGGCTCACTTTCCGCTCTGCTCGGCGGGACTCCGGCCAGGCCCAGCGTGCAGCTGCAGAAAGGTTTAGAGTGAGGCTTCCACTTCACTCTCCGGTCCAAGAGTTATACTATCTGGTGGAAGTGTTTCTTTTTCCTTTTTTGGACAGTTAAGCTACAGCGATGGGCCAACTGGCACCAGTGTGGAGAGACAGGTATTCCTCACTTTGTGGCACCAACGTGGTTCTGGCAAAGTGGCCTCTTTTCCAGTAAAACAGTCTTCTCCCCTCCCTCGCCTTCCATTTTAGGACCAGTGGTTTGTCCCTGGGGAAGCAACCCCAATTACAGCCAGCTTTGCCATCTGTGGAAATAGCCTGGTCACCAGAGGCACAGAAGCCAGATGCGTGGCCATGCCGGCGGCAGCACCCGCGGCAGCACCCGGGGCAGCCCCTGCCCCCGACCCATGAATCTCAGTGTCCCCCAGGCCGCCCACGTCCCACTCTGCCCAGCCTACACCACCTCCCTCACCGCAAAGTGCCCGCTCTGCAGCTCCATGCCCCTGCCCAGTGGAGCCTCAGCCCCGTCCCACCTGCAGCATGCCCAGCCCAAGTGCCCGAAACCCAGAGCCTCGGACTCAGGGCAAAAGGAAGCCGCCCCATTCCACCACATCAGGGTCTCCACTGTGCTTATTTAGAGCAGAGCACAACTCTCCTTGCGTCTGAGTCCCTTCACACAGGTGACTGAGAGGCTCAGGACAGAGCATTGCAGGGGAGACAGAGGAGGGGCTCGGCCTCGCCAAGCAGCTGGCTCTATTCATTTAGCAGAACCGCTGCCCCACCCCCTCCCAGCCCCTGCACGGAGGGAGGCCACTGGGGCCGGCCCGTCCCCAACTTCTATTTTGTTTTCGCCAGAGCCGCCTCCAGACTCCCTCTTCACATTTTATGTCAACTCTGGGGCCCTGCTGGCTGAAAGTGAGTTCTGTTTTCCGGCAGCCCTGTGGCTTTTGGACTCGGCCTTGAAATTAGTTCATGGCGACCCAGGCACACATCGCGCTGGGAAGCCACGTGGGAGCCGTGCGGGTGGAGCGGCCGCCACAGCCAGACTGAAATGTAGCACAGCGCCTGGGCCTCGTCAGGCCTTTATGACAGAGTGTAAAGGGAATTGCTGCTTAGTCACCAATTTGCTTGGCAAGATTGGATGGATTAGGAAACACGTCGAAGGTCAGACAGTAGGAGTTTGTCTAGACGCTCTATTTTGGACTCGGCGCTGACCCGAGGTGTTTCTGTAGCAACCTTTACAACACTGCTATTCTGGCAATATTGGAGAAAACATGATCCCTCCCATCATCAGGTAGGGCCCGCTCTGAAAATCCTCGCCCCATCGCTGGGTTTGCTGAGGCGCCTCCAACTCCATTTAGGACGAGGAAGCCCGACGGGGAGGCCCCTGGGAGGGACCGGCTGCTTGGGCGGAGGCCAGGCCTCGGGAAGCTTGTCCAAGGCTCACAGGGAAAAGCGCCAAGAAATGGAAGTGGCTCATTTTTCCTCTGGGCCTGAGGGGAAGGTTTTGATTTTACAGCCGCCCCTAGTCATTTCTCACAGGTTTGAAGCAGACCTTTCCAGGGACGGGGGAGGGAGAAGGGAGATGGGGAAGGATGGGGAGACGCCGTGAGGAGGCAGCCACCTCCGGGGATCCCCGGAAGCCTGGACGTGCTCTGCCCGGTGGTTCTGTCCCCAGGGAACACGTGGTCATGTCTGGAGGCATCTGTGGCTGTCACAGTCATGGTATGGGGTGCTCCTGGCATAGAGGGGTGGGGCTGCTTCCTTTTGCCTGTCCCTGCTGCCCTCCCCGCCCTCCATGTCTCCCTGCCACCTGCCCTGCCCTCCCCACCCTGCATGTCTCACTCTCCATCGTACCTGAGGGCCCTCTGCCAGCTGGGAGAGGGGACAGCCCAGGCTTCAGTTTCCCTGCATTTCCCCGGGAGTAGGGGAGCCACGAGCAGTCCGTAGGTTCCCTCTTCCTCCCAGGGCCTCAGCACCAGATCCTGGAGCTCCGGACCCCGCAGTGGGTTCCCCAGCCTCACAGCCCTCCTGGGGCCCCACAGGGGAGGGACGCAAAGCTGGCTCTGCAGCTCCTTAGCGCGTGACCTCTGGCAACTTCAGCCTCTCCTGCCTCAGTTTCCCGAACTCTGAAGGGAGGGCGAGTGACACGATGATTCCTCAGCAGAGACCCCAGGCCTCTCTCTCCCACTGACCGCCCAGGGGAGTGAAAGTCCAGGACTCCGTGCATGCCTGGGGACCCGGGCAGTGGGGGAGCAGAACCGGGGACCCGGGCAGCGGGGGAGCAGAACTGCAGGCCCGGCCGCAGCACCTGCCCACCTTGCTGGTGAGGGGTGAAGGCTTCCAGGCCCTGGCCTCCACATCCAGACACCACCCTCACCCGTGCAGGAGCGGGACTCGAACCCACCTCTCTCGCCTCCTTGTGCTGCAGGGAACATTCAAGTCCTGATGTGGACTCTGTCCTGCTGCAGCAGGAAATCCAGAGATGCCTCTGCCACCACGGCAACGGGCTCTGGCCAGAGCAGCAGGAGGGAGCTGGGCCCACATGGCCGTCACCGTGGTTTGCCCACAGCTGCTGTTTCTGAGCCGTCACAGGGTCAGGGGCATCCAGGGAACACGCTGAGATGCAGCCTCTGCTGCAGCCCGACAGATGTGTAGCTGCTTCTGGAGCACGCCCGGGGAACACCCTTTCTTCCTATGGATGCCAGCTGGACTCACTGTGCAGACAGGGCCTGAACCAGACCAGAGGCACTGGCTTCTAGGCGAGGGACCTTCTCAGCACGGGACCTGCAGCTGCCTTTCCCACACTCACACAGGCTCTTCCCATTGTCCTAAGAACCCTGTGGAGGTACAGGCAGGGGTTATCCAAATGCTGACTCATGTGAGTCCGACAGGAGCATGGTGCCCGCCCGAGGAGTGTCGACCTCACGCTAGCCACTGTGATTATTGTCACTGTTACTGTGTGAGCTGCTCTGTTCGGGAGGGGAAGCCACGCTGAGGAGCAGCTGGGACACGTGCCTGGCCCTGCCCTCCAGCTGGCCTCCGTTCCACACATGAGAGCCTTGCCTAGAAGGCCCTTGGTGGTGGGGGGGGTGGGGGTTGGTGCCTGAGCCCCCCACCCTGCAGCTCTCCTCATTCTCGTGCAGTAGGTCCCCTTTGCTGTTGGACTTGCAGCTTCTGCAGGCAAGAACAAGGTGACGTCCCCTCCGTTCTCCAGCAGCAGCTGTGGGCCCACTTGGGGTAGAAGTGAATGAATGAGTGACAAACTGAGGATGCAGATGCCTCGGCTGCAGAGGAGCAAAGACAGACATTTCATTTGAAAGCTCGGAAACCACACAAGCAGGAAAAGAATGAAACGAAATATTTAAAGTGTTGAGAAAGGAAAAAATAGACCCCAACCTACAATTCTGTACCCTGTGAAGTTATCCTTTAAAGTGAAGGAGAAAAAAAAGACTTTCCCAGAAAAACAAAACTTGAGGGAATCAGTTGTCAATAAACCTGCCCTGTGAGAAATGAGAAAGGAAGCTCTTTAGAGTGAGAATACTACTCAGATCCAAAGACAGGAAGAATATTGGAAGAGGAAAAAGTAAAGTAAGATAAAAACACTGTTCCGATTCTCCACTGATCTAATAGATAAGTTTGTCCAAAGTAATAGCAACAATGCATTTGGTCATGTGTGCTTATATACATTAAATATGTATGCTGACATGTGTATATACACATGCTTGCCTAGGTATGCTAATGTGTGAGTGAAATCAATTGCAGCAATGACACAAAGGATGGGAGGAAAAAATTAAAGTGATTTTGTTATTAGAAGGTGTCACACTATCCATGAAGTGGTATTGTATTATTTGAAAATGGGCCTGGATTAGTTGTTCATGTATGTTATAAACTTTAGGGCAACCATTAAAAAAATTAAAAAGTATAACTGATATGCTAAGAAAGGAGAGAAAATGGAATCATATAATTAAAACCACAAAGGACAGAAAAAGAGTAGAAGACAAAAATAAGAACAGAGAACATGGGCAACAAATAGAAAACAGTAACAGACATGGTAGATATTAACCCAACTGTATCCATAATTACCTTGAATGTGAATAATGAAGATGCACCAGTTAAAAGATAGACTGTCCAGGAAGCAAGACCCAACTAGATATTGTCTATAAGAAACCCACTTTAAATATAGGTACATGTAGATTAAAAGTAACTGGATAGAGAGATTTCTACCCTGCTAACACTAAGAAAGTGGGAGTAGCTATATTAATTTCAGACAGTACACTTCGGAGTGAGGAGACGGTCGGGGATGAAGCAGAGCATTCCACAATGATAAAAGGGTCATTTCTCCAAAAAGATAACAATCCTGAAAGTGGGTGTGACTGCCAACAGAGCATCAAACTACATAAGGCAAAACGGATAGAAATGCAAGGAGAAATAGATGAGTCTACTATTAGAGTTGGAAACGTCAATGTTTCTCTATCAGAAATGGATAGATCCAGTAGGCAAAAGAAAAAAATCACTAAAGTCAAACTCAACACCATCAATCAAATGAATATAATTGACATCTATAGACTAGACTACTTCATCCAACAGCAGAATAACATCCTTCTGGAGCTCACCTGGAACATTCACCAAGACAGACCACATTTGGGTTATAAATCATACCTTAACAAATGTAAAAGAATTGTGTATTAGTCCACTTTCACACTGCTATAAAAGAACTATCTGAGACTGGGTAATTTATAAAGAAAAGAGGTTTAATTGACTCACAGTTCTACATGGCTGGGAAAGGCCTCAGGAAACTTACAACCATGGTGGAAGGCAAAGGGGAAACAAGGCATGTCTTACGTGGTGGCAGGAGAGAGAGAGCGAAGGAGGAAGTCATACCCTTTAAACCATCAGATCTCGTGAGAACTCACTATCATGAGAACAGCATGGGGGAAACCACTCCCATCATCCAATCACCTCCCAGCAGGTCCCTCCCTGGGTGAGAGCAGACATTGCCTGATTTCTGTTTGATATGGTTTGGCTCTGTGTCCCTACCCAAATCTCATCTCAAATTGTGGGGATTACAAATTTCAGATGAGATTTGGGTGGGGAGACAGAGGCAAACCATAGCAAATAGAAATCAGGCAATGTCTGCTCTCAGACCACAATGGAGCTAAACTAAAAACCAGTAACAGAAAGGTAACTAAAAAATCACAAAATACACAGAGACTAAACAACACATTTCTACATAACACATGAGACAAGAAATACCAAGGGAAATTTCAAAATGTTTTGAGCTAAATGAAAATGAAAACACAACTTATCAAAATCTGTGGGATGCAACAAAAGCAGTACTTAGAGGGAAATTTATAGCATGTATATATATTAGAAAAGAAGGAAGATCTAAAACCAATTACCTAACCTAGTCATCTTAGGAGACTAGAAAAAGAAGAGCAAATTGAATCCAAAGTAAGCAGAAGAAAAGACATAACACAAATTACAGCAGAAATCAATAAAATTGAAGACAGAAAATCAATAGAGAAAAGCAATGATACCAAAAGCTAGTTATTTGAAAAGACAAAGAAAATTGATATGCCTCTAGCTAGGCTAAGAAAGTAAGAGAGAGGACACAAATGAATATCAGAAATGAAAGAGGGGACATCACTATGTAAAAGGATTATAAGGGAGTACTATGAACAACTCTATGCCCATTTGTAACCTAGATGAAATGGACCAACTCCTTGAAAGACACAGTCTGTCAAAACTCACACAAGAAGAACTAGCCAATCTAAATAGACCCGTATCTATTGAAGAAATTGAATAAATAACTAACAACTTTCCAGGCCAGGCACCATGGCTCATGCCTGTAATTCCAGCACTTTGGGAAGCCAAGTCGGGAGGATCACTTGAGGCCAGAAGTTCAAGACCAGCCTAGCCAGCATGGCGAAACCACGTCTCTACTAAAAATCCCCAAAAAATTAGCCAGATGTGTTGGCACACACCTGTAATCCCAGCTACTTGGGAGGCTGAGGCAGGAGAATTGCCTGAACCTGGGAGGCAGAGGCTGCAGTGAACTGAGATCACACTACTGCACTTCAGCCTGGGCAACAGAGTGAGACTGTCTCAAAATTAATTTATTTATTAACAAGTTTCCAAATCAGAAAACATCAAATCTAGATGGGTTTACTAGTGAATTTTGCTTAACATGTGAGGAATAAATTGTGCCAATTCTCTACAACCTCTTTCAGAAGATAGAAGCAGAGAAAATATTTCCAAACTCATTCTATGAGGCCAGCATCACCCTACTACCACAACAAGATGAAGAAAAAACCACAGACCAATATATCTCATGAACATAGATGCAAAAATCCTCAGCTAAATATCATCAAATTCAATTCCATAATGTAGAAAGAGAATTACACACCAAGACCACATGGGACTTACCCCAGGTGTGCAAATCTGGTTCAACATTTGGAAATGAATAATGTAATCCATCACGTCAACATTCTTGGGAAGAAAAATTGCATTATCGCATCAAGAGATGCAGAAAAATCACTTGACAAAAAACCAGCACCCATCCATGATAAAAACTCAGTGAACTAGGAATATAGAACTTCTTCAACTTGCCATAGAATATCTACAATAATAATGGTGAGATACTCAAAGCTTTCCTACCAAGATCAGGAACAAGGCAAGGATGTCCTCTCTCACCTCTTTTCAATATCACACGAGAAATCCTAACTAATGCAATAAGACAAAAAAGGGAAATAAAAAGTATACTGATTGGAAAGGAAGAAATAAAACTGTCCACAGATAACATGATTATCTATGTAGAAAATCCAAAAGAATTGACCAAGAAAACAACAAAGAAAACCCTCCTGGAACTAATAAGCAATTATAGCAAGTTTGCAGATTATAAGATTAACATACAAAAGTCATTTGCTTTTGTGTATACTAGCAACGAACAAGGAATTTGAAATTAAAAACATAATACAATTACATTAGTTCCCTCAAATGAAATACGTAGGTATAAATCTAATAAAATATGTACAAGTTCCATATAAGGAAAACTACAAATCTCTGATCAACAAAATCAAACAAGAATAAAGAAATAGAGATCAGGAACAAGGCAAGGAGAGAGACCTCTCTCCTTGAGGACACTGCAAGGCTCACTGCAGCCTCTGCCTCCCAGGTTCAAGCAACTCAAGAGGCGAGGTTGCTTGAACTCTCAGCTCTTCTCTCATGTTCATGGACAGAAGATTCAATATTGTCAAGATGTTCATTCTTCCCAATTTGATCTATAGATTCAATTTTATCCTAGTCAAAATTTCAGCAAGTTATTTTGTGGATATTGACAAACTGATTTTAAAGTTGATGTGGAGAGGCAAAAGACCCAGAATAGTTAGCACAGCTCACTACAAAGAAAGGGTGATATTGGCAAAGGAAGAGACAAATCAACGGAGCAAAACAGAGACCTCAGACCTAGAGCCACATAGATACAGTCAACTGATATTTGACAGAGGAGCAGAGGCGATACAATAGAGAAAGATGGTCTTTCAAAAAATGGTGAACAACTGCGCACCTACATGCAAACAAATGAGTCTAGACTCAGACCTTTCACCTTTCACAAAAAATTAACTCAAAATGAGTCTCAGACTTAGACATAAAACACAAAACTACAAAATTCCTAGAAAAAAACGTAGGAAGAAATCTAGATGAGCCACACCAAAGGTATACATTGTGAAAGAATTAGTAAGCTAGACTTTCTTAAAATTAAATTTTTTTTGCTCTGCAAAAGAACACTGTCAAGAGTGATGAGAAGAGAAGACACAGACTGGGAGGAAATATTTACAAAAAACACATTTGATAAAGGGAAAAATACGAAGAACGCTTAAGAGTCAACCATAAGAAAAGCCCAGTTTAAAAGTGGGTCAGAGACCTTCGTGGACCCCTCGGAAGATGGCAGATACACATATGAGAAGATGCCCCGTCACAGTCGTCAGGGAAATACAAGTTAAAATGAGGAGACACCTTCACGCGCCTGTTAGAACAGCCGGCCTCCAGAACACCGGCAGCATCAAGGACCAGTGACGACGTGGGGCTGCAGGAACGCTCATTCGCTGCTGGAGGGGATGCAGATAGCACGGCCACTTCGGGAGACAGTTTGGGAGCTGCTTACAAATGTAAACATGGGCTCTGACCCTGTGACCCAGTGTGCACGCACCTTGGTACCTGCCCAAAAGAGCTGAACTCCTTCGTCCACACGGAAACCTGCACTCAGAGGTTCACACAGCTTTCCTCTCACTGGCCCAACGGGGATGCGATCAAGATACCCTTCAGTCGGTGAATGGATAAACTGGGCACTTCCAGGCAGCGGAGTGTCACTCAGCGCTAAAACAGAAAAGGAAGCATCAAGACATGAAAAGACAGGGAAGCAGCTTGAATCCACAGCACTAAGGGAGCAAAGCCAGTCTGAAAAGGCTACTCACCGCGTGAGTCCAACTAGATGACATTCTAGGCAAAACTACGGAGACAGTAGAACGATGACAGGTAGCCAGGGGCTTCGGGAGAGAAGGACAAACAGGCAGAGCACAGAGGATGTTTAGCAGTGAAACTGCTCCGGGGGACACCACAGGGCAGATGCCTGCGATCACACGTTTGTCCAAACCCACGGAGTGAGTGGCCCCAGGAGGGAGCCCCGTAGTGAGCTCCGGGATCCGGACCATCGGATGCGTCCGTGCGGGTTCATCGCCCGGCACAAATGCACGTCTCCAGCCTGGGAGGTTGGTGGTGGGGGAGGCTGTGCCTGTGTGGGGGCAGGAGGCATATGGAAACTCTCTGGACCTTCTTCTCCATGTTTCTGTGACTGTAAAACTGCTCTGAAAAAGTAGTCTTTTAAGAAAAATCAAACATTAAAAAAAAGAGGCATAAACAATGTCTACGATCACCCAGAACCTAAGTGTCAGCTGGGATTGAAACCTGCGTCATGGGTTTGGTCTGAGGGTGACATTGATGGGAGGTCACCTGGCTCTGCTCCAGCGCCTGACCCGGCTCCAGCACCTCGCCCAGCTCCTGACCCGGCTCCAGCATCTCACTCCCTGGGCTGCCCGGACCACAGGAGGTGTGGAGTGGGAGCATTTTCATCAGTCCCCAGAAGGCAGGATGGGGAGCTGCTCGTGGTCCCTGGAGGAGTAGCACCCACTATCCCCAAGACAAATGCCCGCAGTTCACCACCTCTAAGATCTGATGTGATCTAGACAAAGGCATTTCAAATCCATGACTCAGGAAAAGCAGGGGAATTAATGGCGGGTTTGAGGGATGGGGGGCCCTCCCTGCCTGCATCGTGTCCAAATTCGCACCCAGGGAGACGCAGACCCCATGTCTCCTCTCCTCCGGGAAAGCACACATCACACGCTGGCATCCGACAGTTTCTGCAGCGAGGGTCGCTGTGTGGGATAGAAGGTCCTTCGGAAGTGTCTGTGGAACAAGGTGCACTGTTACTGAGCTACATATTTATATATAAAGTGCAGGGAGAAGTTCATGATGACATTGCACAAGATTCAGACTGGTCTGTGATGGAAAACCAAGGCTGAGCCCAGGCAGCGTGGGGGACCCCGTGCTCTGTCCTTGTGGGAGCAGAGCCTGTCAGAACAGCCAAGGGCTGTGTGACCCGGAACAGCTGCCTCTGCCTGAGCTCGCGGGGGTCCCACAGGTTCCGGACTCCCTCGTCCAAAAATCTGTGATGAGGCAGATGCCAGGGAGCTGAGAACGCGCCCACTTCCTGCTGGGGGCCACCCAGCCTCCTCCTGAGGAAATGCTGGTGTGGAGCTGGGCACTCTTGTCCAGCCGTGGACCTCACAGGGGTGGGGATGAGGGTGAGACCCGAGGTCATGAGCTGGGGGCACCACCCATGCCCGGGCACTGACAGCGGGTGGCTCGCAGTGAACCCAGCATCGCCTCCATGGCCTGTCATCATCGGGACTCTGCCGCAAGTGAAGACGTGCTTGTGTCCCAGGGTACAAGCCGCCAAAGCCCCAGAGGAGGACGAGGAGGACACCCCCGGGAGAGGGCCGGGAGCTCACAGCAGGGTGGGCACCAGGTAGGAGGCCTTGAAGGACAGCGGGGATCCCCAAAGCCAGGAAGGTGTGCACCATGTAAGGAAATCTCACTCACAAGGGATGAGAAATCGTCGTCCCTCCCTCGGCTCAGATTAGCCAAGATGGCAAGTCACATCCAGGGTGAAAGCCACAGCACCGGCCCTGGTTTGGGATGACACCGCGGCTGTGATCTCGGCAGCCACAGGCTTCCCCGTCCGACTCGGCCGAGAAGCCTCTCCTGCCACCTCTGAGCTCTAGGCTTGGACTCTGGAGTGGTTGCTGGAGTCACTTCCCACCGTGCCGGGCAAGGGCTGCAGGAGGGCACAGCGTGCGGGACGCTGGCAACTCACAGCTGCCTCCCAGCCACACCCCCCACCTCCTGCAGGCTCCAGGGCCCTTTGTCTCTGAGAACGAGAGCTGCATCTTGTCCAGTGGGTTTCACAGGTCTCAGGACTGGGAATGGCGCTGGGCGCGTGGACAGGTGAAGTCCATTGTTCCTGCTGCTGCCGGTGTGAGCCGCAGCCCACGCCCACCACCAAGGAGGCAGAACGGCGGTGTGAATGGAGAACCACTCATTTGCCAAATCATTTAAATCAGACTTTTCACAGCTGAGAATGCCACCGCAAAGCACAAATGACTTTGTTCCAGAGAGAAAAGGGAGAGCAGGGCACCGAGGCAGACCACGGGAACACGAGCAGCGCCTTCCACGCTGTCCGGGCAGGGCACCGAGGCAGATCAGACTGCAGCACAGTGTCTGGGGAGCCCTCTCGACCAGTAAGGAAAGTGGCACTTGAGGCTGAGAGGAAGAGAGCGATTCCAGGTGAAAGGACTATTTTTAAAGACTCCCCAGCTAGCCGGTCTGTTTCTTCATTAATTTTCCTTAAAAGCTCCACTTGTGAGACAGGCAAATGCTCGCCACCTGCCCCCGCCCCCGCCCCCATCATAAACCAGCGCACCTGGAGGCAGGGGCTCGAGGCAGGCAGGCCTGGGAAGGTGGTGGGGCTTGCAGCAGACGGGCCTGGGAAGGTGTCGGGATGTGCACCATGACCCACCTCCCGGGATGACCACAGAGCTGGGGGTGTATTTTCTGCACTTTTTAAAACGACTGAAGCATTTCTAAGGTCAAAGTGGAAGGTTCAAATAGCCCAGCCAGAGCCCAGAGCAGCCCCTGGAACGTCCTCTCCAACACATTTACAAGGAAAAACCATCTGATTGAAAGCGAGAGACTCCGTGGTCACGTCCGTAATTGGCCAGAAAATCACCCATGAAGGCAGTGTGTTGTTTGAACTATGTCTTATTCCAAAAGAATTTCATTAAAGCAATTATATTTTAATAAATGTGGGAGGTTACAGATGGCACTTCAGTTCATAACAGAGCCTGTATGCCCTGGCAATTAGCAGCGGAAAATGAGCAGGACTGAGCCCATCGTTGTGCCTGCGTAATGTTTTCATTACAGGAGTTACAAATAATCTATTACTCTTCCTCTAAACACCCAGCAACATGCAAGCATTCCTCACCTCAAAGTCGGTTCTAAGTAAACAAAATAAGATGCCAAGAGGCAGCGTGTCAGCATAGGATTTACGGAGTGAATCAGAGGCCTTTGTACGATTGAAGACATCGTTAGCCCTCGGGAGCCAAGTGTGGCAGCACTGGGAGCCGGCCTCACCACCGTGCAACTCTGCCTGTCCAGCCTGGTGGGTCTTTCTGGAAAGGTCCGTCTGCCCGGGTCCTGCCTGCCCCCTGCCACTGCTGTCGGAGGAGCCTCAGGGACCCCAGTGGGTCCTGTCCCTCGGGAACCAGCTGCTGCCACGGCCGCCACAAGCCACGTCCCAGAATGAGGGGCTCCCTCAGGAGGAGCGTGTGGCAGAGGAGAAACTCCCCAAGCCTTTCAGACAAAAATGTTAGGTCTATTGAACTCTCCTGAGTGGCAGACGGAATGGGATGGCCCAAATCCGAAAGAACATCTGGAATCTCATCTTTCATCTTCTCCAACAGAAATGGACACCAGACTGGCTTTTGCCAAGAATATCACAGCCCTGGCATGATTTTTTAAGATCTATACATTTATGGTAAATTTCTTCAAAACCAAATATTACAGAATTAACGAGGCTGGGGCTGGGCTCTGGGGAGGGGAGGTCCAAATAGAGCTGCTGGGAGCAACCCTGGGACCCCCTCTGGAGTCTCCTGTTCTGTGGGGGAGACCCTGACTCTCAGGACGCAGCAGTGGGCGGAGTGCGGTGGGTGACAGGGACATGGCCCGTGGGTGTTGGAGCCACTATCAAGACGGCTGAGGTGGGAGATCCCTGGGAGACTTGGCCCTGGGCCACTGGCAGAGGGCAGAGGGGTGTCTGTGTCTGAGGTCAGGCAGCCTCTGCCAAGGCACCTGTGCTGAGAAGCCACTGGTCCCTGGAAGCCACCTCCCTTCAGACATAGATGGCCCTTTTTGTCTTGACTGCTAGGAAGCTGAGTGTTCAAAGGTTACCACTCTCTGAATCCCACGACACCTGCCCTCCGCCATCATCTTATCCCTGTGGAGTTGTCTGTTCTTGATTGAGAACAACCTCAAATCCCTTTTGGAAACAAATGGGCAATAAATGAATGTGTGGTGGGAGCTCAGGCCCCCAGCTGGCTAGGAGACTCTTCCCCCACCCACAGGGGGTCCCTCCACACAGCTCCCAGACCCCCACCTCTCTCACATCCTTCCCCCACCCGCAGGGTGTCCCTCCACACAGCTCCCAGACCCCCACCTCTCTCAGACCCTTCCCCCACCCGCAGGGGGTCCCTCCACACAGCTCCCAGACCCCCCACCTCCCTTCTCAGACCCTTCCTCTGCACACAGGGGGTCCCTCCACACAGCTCCCAGATCCCCCACCTCTCTTCTCAGACCCTTCTCCGAGAAATGTCTTTGAATATCAGGACTAAGCTCTAATTTTTTATCTTGCCCCAATTCCTATCTAAGGGGTCTAGGGAGTCATACCCTTCAACCATAAATTCTCATCAGATGGGTCTTATTTGACCCTATATATATCGTGACTTACTTTCCAGTCTGACTCTGGCATAACATTATAAGACAATAAAAAAATCAAAATATTTCATCCCAAAATATATTTCCTTGCCAGACCTTGAAATTGCCCTGCAAAGTCTCTTGTGGGAAAAATCCACATTCTATAGCGAATCCCCTTCCCCTTTGTTTTCCTTCCTTCCTTTGCAGATCCAGGAGATAATTAGCTAAGAGCCAGGCACCTTTTAGGTCTGATAAGAAACATTTCACAATCTGCTCCCTCTGAAGTCTGCTATCTGAGAGCTTCCTCTGCACAATAAGACTTGGTCTCCGCAGTCCTTTATCTCAACCTCGCATTTCCTCTCTGTTGATCCCAGGTCTTCTTAAACTCAACCAACTGTCAACCAGAAAATGTTTGAATTCACCGATAGCCTGGAAGGCCCCGCTCTGAGTTGTCCCGCCTTTCTGAACCCAACCAATGTATTTCTTCAATGTATTTGACTGATGTCTCGTGACTCCCTAAAATATATAAAACCAAGCTGTACCCCGACCACCTTAGGCACATGTTCTCAGGACCTCCTGAGGGCTGTGTCACAGGCCAAGGTCACTCATATTCAGCTCAGAATAAATCTCTAAAAATATTTCAAGGAGTCTGACTCTTTTCGTCAACAAATGTACAAAGCAGTTGAAACACAGTATCAAAACAGTTATGAAAGTTTTTTTTTTTTTTTTTTGAGACGGAGTCTCGCTGTCGCCCAGGCTGGAGTGCAGTGGCATGACCTCGGCTCACTGCAAGCTCCGCCTCCCGGGTTCACGCCATTCTCCTGCCTCAGCCTCCCAAGTAGCTGGGACTACAGGCACCTGCCACCATGCCCGGCTAATTTTTTGTATTTTCAGTAGAGACGGGGTTTCACCGTGTTAGCCAGGATGGTCTCGATCTCTTGACCTCATGATCCACCCACCTCGGCCTCCCCAAGTGCTGGGATTACAGGCGTGAGCCACCGCGCCCGGCCTTCTTTTTTTCTTTACTTTTTTTTTTTTTTTTTCCTGAGACAGAGTCTCGCTCCTTTGCCCAGACTGGAGTGCAGTGGCGCGATCTCAGCTCACTGCAACCTCCCACTCCTGGGTTCAAGTGATTCTCCTGCTTCAGCCTCCCCAGTAGCTGGGGTTATAGGCACGCGCCACCACACCCAGCTAATTTTTGTATTTTTAGTAGAGACAGGGTTTCAGTATGTTGGGCAAGCTGGTCTCAAACTCCTGGCCTCAAGTGATCTGCCCACCTCGGCCTCCCAAAGTGCTGGGATTACAGGTGTGAGCCACTGCACCCGGCCAAAAGTATTTCTTAAGAAACAAAATCATAATGCAGTGATACATCCTTTCACACCCGAGCAGTAAGAGCAGCGTCCCTCGGTGGTTCCAGTGAACTCCATCATTCCACGTAGGGACGGGCAGACAGTGTTGTTAGTGATTTGCAACAGCTGCAGTGTACAAGAAACCACAACTTCTAGGGCAGGGGATTTAGCTCGCAGCATGAAGAAATGTCAGCTTCTTTCCTGTCTCCATGTTCTCCTGCTTTGACCCCAATCCTGCCTGGGCCCTTCAGTGGGTCCCAGCTCCCAGATGGGTCTGGGAGAGACCCTGCCCCTGCCCTGGCCCTGATCCCTGACCCAGGAGCCTTGCCGCTCATTCAGGCTGCAGGCCGAGCCAGGTACCTTCCAGCTACCCTCGACTATTCTGAAATACACATTTGGCCTTCCTCCCTATTTCCTGGCATACAACTCCTAAAGTCCCTGGGGTCTCATAAGTGATGTCTGTTTGTCTGCTAAGGAGATGACAGTGCTTGGCTACTCAAGCTGATCCCCAGCAGGACTGTCAGGGGGCTTCCGGATAATGGACTCTGGAGGTTCCTGGAGGGCGAGTGCCCAGGGAGGGCCTGGGAACTCCGGCCCCTTCCCCACACCTCGCCCCATGCGCCTCTCCATCTGTATCCTTTGCAATACCATCTATAATAAACCTGGTACACGTAAGTGCGTGTCCCTGAGTTCCGCAGCTGCTCTAGAGAATTAATCGAACCCAACCGGGGAAGGGGTGGGGGGGGTGGGGGCGTGTCATAGGAACCCAGCCTGTGGGCCAGAAGTTCCGAAGGCTCAGACTTATACCGCTGGTGTCTGAAGTGGGTGTGGGTATGGGGAAGAGTCTTGGGGACTGAGCCCATAGCCTGTGGTATCAGACACTGTCTCCTGGGGAAAGAGTCAGAATGAATTGAACGCAGTTGGAGGGTTCCTGCTGGTGTCTGTGCAGAACCGACTGTTTGCTTGGCGTGTGGGAAAAACCCCACACGTCTGGTCATGGAGTCTCTGTTGATTGTTGTGGGTAAGAGCAGAGAAAAGTCTGTTTCTTCTACTCAGGACCCCCAGGGCCACAGCCCCTCCCCGCTGAGATCCTGCCAGGCGGGAGTATCCGCAGGAGCCTGTGTAGCCCCATCTCCACCCCTGCCCGTAGCCACAGAGCGAAATACAAGCAGTTGCTTTTGGTCCTGCAATTCCAAAGCCCCTTCCCCAGGCAGGAGACCTGGAGGCCTGGCCACCTTCCTGCAGTGCCGCCCTCCGCCCCCGCCCTGAGAGGGACTGCGGCGTTCTTGCTGGCGGGGTCTTGGGTCACTGGCACGGACGCCCCTCCCAGGCCTGCGCTCTTGCTGGCGGGGTCTTGGGTCACCGGCGTGGATGCCCCTCCCAGGCGGTGGGCTTTTCCAGGGCCTGCAGGGCTGGGTGGGTGCCTGTGAGGGCCCTGTGTCTGGAGCTCCACACGCGGCCGCAGTCCCAGCTCACTGGTTCAAGCAGAAGTTCTCCCACAGGCAGCGGCAGAGACTCCCTTCAGACCAGAACGTGGGCTGTTCACCCCACAGGCCGTCCCCGCCTGGCACCTCCAGGATGGCGACCGCCCGGCTCCCTGAGGCTTTCCTGGGTTTTGCTCTGAAAGCCCCACACCCTGGAAACCCCTCAGTCCTGGGCAAATTGGCCGCCCTAAGGCCCAGCCTTCCTGAGATCCTCAGCCGGCCTCTGCCTCACAGCTTTGGAGAAGTTGCCTAGGGTCCCTTCGAGGAGCCGAAGGCCTGGCAGGATGAGTCCCCAGAGGGCAGCGTGAGGCCACCACACCCACCCAGGTGAGGTCCCAGGCTCCTCTGTGAGCTGCATCCCTGTAGCCTGTCCTGAGACTGTCCTGGCAAAGAACCACACACTGGGGACTTAAAGCAATGGCACGTCACCCTCTCCCAGCTCTGGAGGCCCCAAGCCTGAAACTAAGGTGCCTCCGAAGGCTCCAGGGGAGGATCCTTCCTGCGTCTTCCAGTGTCCCCAGGCGTTCCGGGCTTGTGGCTGTGTCATTCTGCCCTCTGCCCCCTGGGCACGCAGCTGACTCCCCTGTATGGGCCCATCTCTCCGAATTCACATGACCGTCCTTCGGTAAAGACACCAGCACCAGTCCCTGACTCCGGGCCTTCCCTAACCCAGTGTGGCCTCATCTTAACTAAAGATGTCTGCATCGACCCTATTTCCAAAAAAGGTCCCATTTGAGCTTCCTGAAGGACACGAATTTGGGGTACTGCTCAGCCCAGTACTCCAGTTTCTGCAACAGACAGCAGAGCCCCCACCGTGTCTCTGTGGCCAGGACAGTGCCCCTCACCAGCTGGACTCTGAGGTCCTGGGACCCCCAGGGGAACCTGGGCCGTGGGTCTTTCAGCTGTGAGTGTTCTTTATGGACACCGTCTGCCGAGGGCAACTCTGACCCCCAAACTCTCAGCAGCCAAATGTCCCTGGGACACCCCCACCTGTGCTGAACAGCGCTTCCCAGGGGGACCACAGGCCTCAGGGCACACTGCTGATAGATGCGCACACACACGTGTGCACACACATGCACACATACACACGCATGCACACACAAATGCACACATACACACGTGTGTGCGCGCACACAGGCACACACACACGTGTGCACGCACACATGCACACACATACACGTGTGCACGCGCAAATGCACACATACACACGTGTGTGCACACACACACGTGTGCGCACACACATGCACACACATACACACGTGTGCACACACAAACCCTGCTTCAGAGCTCAGCCCTGGAGGAGCGTCACGCTCGCCCAGCCTCCTCACATTTCTGTACTTCTTCAGTCAGTTACAAGAGTATGGATTCTTGGACGCTTACTTTATGTCTTTGTAACCCAACACTACTTTATTTCTTGAGGGTGTAGCATCCAACCAAATTCTCCGGAGTTCTTCTGTGAGGGGACTCTGTCTCTTCTCCCCTAAACTTACTATTTAGCATAATGATTCTTAAGCTTTAGAGAAAGCCATTGTTTAGTATTTGTTGGCAGCGTGAACATAGTTTATCATCTTTTCCATCAGAAAATGCAGCACAGCACAGCTGTCCTCTGTCTCCACCTGTGTGCCCAGAGCCAGGGATGCCCCTCCTCGCCCTCCTGCGCAGCAAAGCTTCCCTCTGCCTCCCCCAGGGCTCCTTCTCTGCATTTGCCCGTGGCCCGGAGCCCACCCTGCTCTGCTCATCCAGCACCTGGACCCCTCGCCGGCTCCCGAGCTCGTGCCTTGGCTTCCCCACTGGGTCTGCGCTCCTCTGTGTGCTGGGGCTCCCACACCCAGTCTGCGTTCCCCGCCAGGTCTACGTTCCCCGCCAGGTCTGCGTTCCCCGCCAGGTCTACGTTCCCTGCCAGGTCTGCACTCCTCACCTGGTCTGCCTTCCTCACCTGGTCTCTGCTCCTCACCTGGTCTCTGCTCCTCACCTGGTCTGCGCTCCTCACCTGTTCTCTGCTCCTCACCTGGTCTCTGCTCCTCGCCTGGTCTGCGCTCCTCACCTGGTCTGCGCTCCTCACGTGGTCTGCGTTCCTCACCTGGTCTGCGCTCCTCACCTGGTCTGCGCTCCTCACCTGGTCTGCGCTCCTCACCTCACCTGGTCTCTGCTCCTCACCTGGTCTCTGCTCCTCGCCTGGTCTCTGCTCCTCACGTGGTCTGCGTTCCTCACCTGGTCTGCGCTCCTCACGTGGTCTGCGTTCCTCACCTGGTCTGCGCTCCTCACCTCACCTGGTCTCTGCTCCTCACCTGGTCTCTGCTCCTCGCCTGGTCTCTGCTCCTCGCCTGGTCTGCGCTCCTCACCTGGTCTGCGCTCCTCACCTGTTCTCTGCTCCTCACCTGGTCTGTGCTCCCCACCTGGTCTCTGCTCCTCACCTGGTCTCTGCTCCTCACCTGGTCTGCGCTCCTCACCTGGTCTCTGCTCCTCACCTGGTCTCTGCTCCTCTGCTCTGTGTCGCCTCTGGCCCTGCTGTCACCACTGCTCCCAACCTCCTCCACATCCCAGTTCTCCAGGACTGCAGTCCATGTGCGAAAATGCACAGACCCAGGACACTCGTGGAGACTGCGAAATGGTGAAAGGGTGTGGGGCAGGGAAACAACTCTGGCCAGGGCCAGCCCGGCTCCCCACGGCCCTGGCAGCTCCTCACACGTCCAGCTGCACAAGGCACTGAGATTGCACACGGAGGAGCCTCAATGGCCTGCGGGATTCATGGCTGCTGGCCAGAGACACGACCCTCCAGGGTGGTTTTCACAGCAATGGTGGTTTTGAGGATTGGAGCCAGGCCCGGGACCTGCACACACACAGGGAGCCCTGGCAGGGAGACCCCAGATCCCAGGCGGAGGGAGCCACTGCCCCGGCCCAGGCGAGGCACCGTCTCTGCCTCCTGCAGATGTCTTTGAAAAGATCATCTGGACATGCCACAAGAGGCCGTGGAGTGCTGTCCCCGACAACCCGCCCTCAGAGTCCCCGCGTGTGAAACGCCAAGAGGGTTCCATGAGGTGAGGAAGGAAGACGGCGCCGCGGGGGGTGCCCGGCGTTCACAGCGCTCACAGGAGCCTGCCCAGCCCTTCCGCCAGGCCTGGGGCGGCCGAGCACAGACAACACATGCTCTGCCTCTTGCCCCACAGCCTGTGGAGACACAACAGCAGCCAAGCGGCAGGCAGGGCCTCCAGCTAACTCTTGTGCACACACTACTGCACACCAGCAACACGCCAGGGGCCTCAAGGGCCAGGGCACAGGGAGGGACCTCTGCTCCTGGGACAGCAGCCCTGTGGGGGGATCCAAGGCCTGAGCCCCGGTGAGCAGCTCCATCAGGGCCCGAAGGCCCCGTCTCCATGGGGCCAGAGGGACGGAGGCTGATCACTCGAGCCAGGCACTTCCCACAATCTTCCTGTCCCTGCCCTCAGTACCCCTGAGGAGCGTGGCCCCCTCCTCACTGTGGGTCCAGGCCCAGAGAGGAGGGCGCTGGGGCTGCTGGGCCTTTTGGGGCAGGCCACGGGCACCCTCAGCTCCGCAGAGACTCCTGAGAGCCAGGGAGATGCCTTAGAAAGGAAGCTCCAAGTCTTCTTGCTGGAAGCTTTCAGCACCGAGTGCAGATGCCAGCCCCAGTCCTTGGCCCACGGACCAGGGCACAGGAGTCTGAAGCCACTCACAATATCCCCTCCTCCAGGGCTTAAAACGCAGCCGGGGCTCACGCCCTCTTGGGGGCTTCCGCGTGGCCTGTACCTGTGAGGATGCCGGCAGGCTTGGCGCACGGGTGGCTCCGGGGTCAACTCCACGGGCGCTGCCCCCACCCTCGCTCCCGCAGTGCCTGAGCCCCACTGCCCTCCCCACTGCTGGTGTGCGTGCACCTCAGGCCCCTCCGGGAGCTGCACAGAGTTCACGCCGGGTCAATCCACCATCCACTGCATGGAGAGGCCAGCGGCCTGGGGCAGCTGTGCTGGGTAAGGCAGCGAAACCCTTAATCTAATGATGTTTTTCTCCAACTGCAACCCTTGCACGCTAGGAGCCACTCTCTCTTAATTAAGCTCAGCTCCCACATGCTTTTAACCATGCAACTTTAAAAGAAACATGTATCTTTCCAAATTAACTTTGTGTCTAAGAATAATAAGAGAGCAAGAGTTGTACTAATTAACTTACAGTCGGCTACAGAACTCATTTGCCAGTGCCGTGTAGGCTTCAAGGGGAGCCGACATTTATTCAGTACAGAGGACATTCCAGGGCACTGGTCCCACCTGGGCATCACCCCTTGTTTCCACAGAGCCCCGAGGGTCTCAGAGGCAGGAGCCCGGGGACAGTGCGGAGCTGGGACTCGGATCAAGTGTGTCTCCCTTCCGAGCCCATTCCATATTCCAGAAGGATCCAGAGCCTTCCCTCCCACATGCCAGCTCACGGCATTGGCTACAGTAATAGTCAGTCTGCCTAGAGTGTGTGCTTTTGATTGAAAAAGCCAGGAGAAAATCTTTTTCAAAGAGTGGAATGTTCGAAGAATGGAAATCTGTGAAAATCAGTCGTGTGATTTCTCAGGGCTCATTTCCATGAGCCGCAGTTACATTCTCGACTGTGGCCAAGGACGCTGCCTGCCCAGCCTTCACAGGGTGAGGCACAGGTACACGCGGTTTCCGGGACCTGGCCACGGGCCACTCTCCAGGACTGACTGCAAGGACCTTCACCTCCGAGGAGCCAGGAGAGACGGAGACACCCAATCTGAGATGTTCTGACAGCTGCTTCACAGGCTGAGCTGCGGGAGGATGGCAGCGCCCTTCCTCCACGCTGAGCTCCGGAGCTTGGAAGCTGAGGCCACCAGCTCCGTCCCGGCCAAGCTCTGAGCATCACAAGCTCAGAAGGAACAAACTGCAGAGTCCATGCTGGACACAGAGCGCAGGGAGAGACCCCTTGTCCCTCACCCATGGCACGGAGCATGTGATGGCAGATGCCTCTGCTCCAAGACAAAATGGGCAATGCCTTTGCAACTGACCAAGCAAACGCAGACACCAGAACTGCTTTCTAAAATTCCAGGGCTGTAAATCTCACATGCCCCAAGCAGGCAGAAAAACAGAAGAACGCTCTTACGGAGCGAGTGTACCCAGGGGTTTCCTGGACTTGGAGGGGGCTGAGCCTGGGAGGAGGAGGGGCTGCGTGTGTGGGCAAAGTTGGCGGAGCTGGTTGCTGCATGGCTGAGGGAAGGGGCTGAGAGGCCGTCAAGGCTCACCTGGACGTTCAGTGGCTTCCCAGTGCTTCCCCTCCAGCCTGCAGCCGCCTGCACCAACAGCTGGGCCCAGGTGGGATTTTCCAGCACGGGAGGGGCGAGGCAGCTTCCCCAGGCCGAGAGGCTGAGGAGAGCAGCACCCAGCAGCAGGTGGACCTGAGGTGGGAACACAGCTCAAAGGAAATGGCAGCAGCCAGTGTCTGTGAGGGGACTGGCCACGTGGGCCCAGCTTTGGGGCTCAGGGAGGCCCCAAGACTCCCCACAGAGTGAAGCTGGGCCAGGTCAGATGCAGAGCCACAGCCCCGGACACACGACAGAGATACGGATGCAGAGACACACGCCCTACACAGCCCCCAGAGCAGTGACCTCGGCATTGGTGACTGCAAAGCAGGGGCCAGTGCGCTCCAAGTGATGCCATGTCATTGAAAATCCTCACATTCTGTAGAACACGAGGCCTTTGCTGTGGTTTATGGCCAGTTCTAGAGATGCCTAGGCTCTTGCCACTGGTGTCCCCAGAAAAGGGGGGACTCATAGAAGAGAAGGGGCCCCTGTGATGAACAACTGGGCCCTTCCCCCCCAGCCCAGGGTAAACGGCCCCTCCGCAAGCCCCAGGAAGACGGGACCCCACATGCTCCAGGAAGACAGGACCCCACATGCCCCGGGAAGACAGGACCTCATGTGCTCCAGGAAGATGGGACCCCTTGTGCCCCACCGTGACCACAGGACACCGTGCACTCTCAGGCGCGCCATCCTCCCTGACTGACCGAGCTCCCCCAAGGCCGTCATCACCTCCTGGGTAAG
This sequence comes from Homo sapiens, assembly GCF_000001405.40. Lineage (NCBI taxonomy): Eukaryota > Metazoa > Chordata > Mammalia > Primates > Hominidae > Homo > Homo sapiens. The sequence goes on from NT_187617.1 coordinate 46,832, forward strand.
GGCTTTGCCTGGGTGAGTGGAAAGTGACCGCGAAGGACTTGCTCCGGGCTGGGCTGGGGCCTGTCTCAGCACAGTGGCCAGGCTGGTGGCCTTGGCTGGTCAACGTGCCTCCCAATTGGTGTCCCTGCTGCATCTGCTGCTAGATGTGGGTCAGGACCCCAGAGCATAGGGCTGAGCTCGGGGCCTGCTCCAGCAAGTGCCTTTCTTCGTGGTAAAGCCCCCGCCACTGAGCCACCCCAGGCAGGCTGAGCCCCCGCCACTGAGCCACCCCAGGGCAGGCTGAGCCCCCGCCTCTGAGCCACCCCAGGCAGGCTGAGCCCCCGCCTCTGAGCCACCCCAGGCAGGCTGAGCCCCCGCCTCTGAGCCACCCCAGGACAGGCTAAGCCCCGGCCTCTGCTGCTTTCTGGACCCCGGCATCTGAGAGCAGAGGGTGGGGCCATACTCAGACCCCGGGCCTGGCCGTCCTTCCTCCCAAATCTAACCCTAGCCCTGAGCCACACCCCAGGTGTCCAGCTCTCTGGGTCAGGCTCCCTGAGCCGGCACCCTCCAGAATGTGCCTCCCTTCAGATCTCAGGCCAGCAGGAGGGCGAAGGACAGCACCGCCCCACCTTTTATCTGGGAGCTTGGCCAGGCAGGGGCTGGCCCAAGCAGCAAGAGCCTCCTCCTCCTCACCGCACCGTGGCTCGGAGGAGTTGCATCTTTTTGCCTCGGGAGCCTGGCGCATCGGAGCTTCCCTGCACTCATCCACGCGGGATGGTCACCTCCACTCCGGAATGGGCGTGAGTCGGGCAAAGGGCTCGGTTGGCTGTGCATATAAACTGGGCATGTGCTCTTGGAAATAAATTTATAAAATCCCCCGAGAAAGTAAAGTGGGGACAGCCGAGAGGGCCCCACACACCTCCCTATGGACACCCAAGGCTGAGGCAGCTCTGTTTCCAGCCCCTTCCTCACCGGACGCCAGGTTCACCCCAGGCCGTGAGAACCCAGGCCTGAGGCAGCGCAGCCAAAGGCCCCGATCCGGCCCAGAGCCGTGCCCTGATTAGGCCCAAAGGAGAAGTCAGGATCAGGAAGAGCAGAAAACATCTGAGCAATGAGACACGTTGGGAATAAAGCTCCCGCCCACCGCATGATAACAGGCAGAGTGAGTCACACGGACTGTGGGAATCTGTGTAGACGGGTTTGGTTTGTTTTCTTTGCTATTGTGGGGGTGTTTGTCTCACCTAATAATTTTCATTGTGTGCTAATAAGCACAGTGGGTTGGCCTGCATGGAAACTGCCCAGCCGGCCTTTTCTGTTTGTTATGCAAAGGTGTGAAGGGGCCCAGGACCTCCCAGGGTCAGGGGAGGAGCAAAATACCTCTTCCATGTGGGAAGCAGGCTGGCATGTCACGGCTGTGGCTACGACGCCGAGGAAGCAAACTGACACCGCTGCCCCCACGCCCCTGTGCCCTTCAGAGGGTGGCGCTGACCCATCGCCGGAGGGGCCCACAGGCCCAGGGATGGGCACTTTCCCAAGAAAAGTTGGGGTCCCCTTTGGCAGCTCCCATGGGTGACCAGGAGCACGGCAGCATCTGCAGGACAATGGGAGTGGCCTGGCTGCCCTGACAGCCTTCTTCCTTTGTTCCCTCCCTGGATGGGCCGAAGGGGTCGCCCTGTCTGGTATCTGCTGGATGACCAAGTTCCCTGAGCTAGAGCATCAGGCTGGCCTTCCTCTCCTTAAATAGTCTTCAGGACGGACACACTCCAGCTGTCACGCCGAAAGTAATGGGCCCAGGCTGGGTGCAGGGGCTCACGCCTGTAACCCCAGCACTTTGGGAGGCCGAGGCGGGTGGGTCACGAGGTCAGGAGATCGAGACCATCCTGGCTAACACGGTGGAACCCCGTCTCTACTAAAAATACAAAAAATTAGCCAGGCGTGGTGGCGGGCGCCTGTAGTCCCAGCTACTCAGGAGGCTGAGGCAGGAGAAGGGCATCAGCCCGGGAGGCGGAGCTTGCAGTGAGCCGAGACCGCGCCACTGCACTCCAGCTTGGGCGACAGAGTGAGATTCCATCTAAAAAAAAAAAAAGAAAAGAAAAAAGAAAGTAACTGCCCCAAAACTGTATTTGTCATGCAGGTTCCCAACCTCCAGAGGCACGTGACTTTAAAGACCATATCCTCACAAAATAGGATCAAGTAAAAGCTGCTCAGTGGTGAAGACGCGGAGCTGGACCAGCCCCGGTGCTGGGTGCAGCAGCCGCTGTGCAGGAGGCCGTGTCTGTCCTGTCCAAGAGAGTTGGAGTCAGAACCTCACCTGGAGCCCCACTCCTCCTAGAATAGAGGAACGGCCTAGGCCACACCCCAGCCGCACCAGTACAGCAGCTGCTTTGCAAAGTGGATGTCCGCAGGTGCTTCCAACGCATGTCAGAACTAAACTGGAGCCCTGTCCACGCTCCTTCGTGCTCTGTCGGGAGGCTCCGCAGGAGCTGGCCGCTGGGTGAGACGCCAGAAGGTGGCTTCATCTTCCCCGCAGGCTGGGTATGCCCCTCACTGAGGGTCCCAGGGTTTTCTTCAAGCCTCTGTGTCAGAGCCAGTGGGCAACTGTGCTGGCTCTGCTCACCCTGCCCACGTGGGCACACATGGGCACACATGGGTACATGGGGGCACACCCGGCTACATGCGGGCACACTTGGGTACATGTGGGCAACCTGGGTATCTGCAGGCACACCCAGGTACATGCGGGCACACGTGGGTATCTGCAGGCACACGTGGGTACATGTGGGCACACCTAGGTACATGTGGGCACACTTGGGTACATGTGGGCAACCTGGGTATCTGCGGGCACACCCGGGTACATGTGGGCACACGCGGGTATCTGCAGGCACACGCAGGTACATGTGGGCACACCTGGGCACATGCAGGCACACCTGGGTACATGCGGGCATACTTGGGTACATGTGGGCACACATGGGCAGGGCAGCACTGGCAGCTGCTCACTGCCTGTCACAAGCCATGAACTCAGCTTTGACCTTGCAGGTATGCCAGGTTCAATTCAAAGGCATGCCGTGGCAATGTGTGTGTGCACATTGTACAAGCAATGTAGCTAGGAACAGTAGCTATTATTATCCTAAGGCTAAACATGGATTTTTTTTTTAGGTGAAAATTCAAAACCAAGGGAAATTACTGCCGTCAGGGTTGCGGCTTCAGCCAGAGCTTGCCTCCCAGTCTCACACTCATGCTCTCCTGTGGAATCAGGCTCTGCGATTCTTTTGCCCGGAGCAGAAAGGACCTGCGACACGGCCTGGGGAGACGGCTCCACCGTCTGAGGTAGCAGCAAACAAAGCAGCAGCATGGAGGGTCAGGGGCGAGGGGAGCAGTCCCGGCTGTCTGCTGGCTTTCTGCTTTCTAAGCTTTTATTTTCATAGGGAGGAGAGAGAGGGCGCCTGAGTCTGACAAGAGGGTCTCAGCTCCCGTGCTGGCAACTCTCCTGCCGGCCACAGGGACCTCCGGGCCATGGCGCCCGGCCGGCCTACTGGGTGACAAGCTTGGAGGGTGTGTGGAAGGGCCCAGCTGCTGTGAGGGTGCCGGTGTTCCCTCCCTCGCCTCCTGCCACACCTGCTCTGAGCTGAGTTCTGCCATCACAGATGTGGGTTCGGCAGAGAGACCACCTGGCAATGAGGCACACGTGTCCGGATGGAGTGTCTGTAAGGGACGTTTGCTGATGACTTGCCGAGGCTATGGTAGAACCCGCCGGCCGTGGAAAGCAGGAGCTGGCACTGGCTGTAGCGCCCGGACCCCAGGCCTCCCGCCTGTGGCCCAGCTTCCTGGCTGCCTCATAGCTCTAAAGCAAACGCCCTGGCCAAAGAGACGCATCTCATCCCCAGCAGTCCCCAGCTCCTGACGCAGCATGGACCCCTCACTCGCTCCTCCAGGCAGCCCAGGGCCTATGGTGATAGAGCCTCTAGAGTGGCGGACCAGGTTCTGAGGGTCTTTAAAACAGTCACCAATGGGAAGTTTTGTTCACAGAAATTTAACATTGAGAAACAAATGGAAACATAACAGAAAAGACCGATTACGTTTCCCAAGTTGGAAAGAATCGGGTTCCATCTGCCCAGGAGAAACAGGCGTCTCCACGTGCTGGGAGTGGCGCGTGGGAAGTAGAGGGAGTCTCAAGAACAGCAAGCCAGGGGCGCTGACCTGCAGGGAGGGGCGCCAGGGGCCCAGGGTGGCCTCTCAGGTTCACGAACCAGGGAAGGGACCCCAGCAGACGTGGACTTGCCCACATCGCCCCTGGGGGAGGCTCTCCAGCCAGCTGAGGACATACCCGGGGCTCCAGCCCCATCCACAGCCTCCCTCCCGGTCCGTGAAGGATTGGTCTCACCCATGGCAGGAGGTTCTCACCGCGTGGCCTGTGGGTCCTGGCATGGGGTAAGTTCCCAGGGACTCTGCCAGTGGGTCTGCAGATCAGAACTACGTTTGTGACAAAGCTAAGTGACACTGTGTGACAATATGTCACTACTTTTGTGACAATGCCTTCTCCAGCGGGCGACATCTGCGAATGGCGGCTCCGTATTGGGCACAGGGCGGCAGCTCCACACCCTGCCTTCCCACCACCAGCACTTACTGTGCAGTAGAAACAATAGCTCCACTTTTAAAAGGCCCCCTGGGGCAGAAAAACTATCCGTTCTGTTCTATCTCAGCCTTGCACACAGCACAGCAGGGTGCATGGCCACAGGTGGGGCAGTACACGGGAAATGCAGGCAGAGTGCGTGGACCACACATGGAAGCTGACGGGACTGGGAGAAAGTGTGTGGCTGAGTCTGGAGCCACGGCCCCCACCCCCCAGCTACGTCTGTACCTGAAAAAACAACCAACTAGCCACGGTCATCGGGCATCGGGCAGGCATTTTCTTGAAAATGAGCAAAATGAGCCTGTTGCTTTAAGGTAAACTTGCAGTATTTGTTGCCAATAACAAAATTTGAGCTTTCAAGCAAAAATTAGAATTTTGGAAAACTTGTATCCATCACTGTGAGCTTCCCAGTCAGCACTTCAAGACTTTTCCGAGGAAGTTGGTGGTGATATTCGCAAATGTGACTTTTGATATTAAATAAAGAAACACGTCAACATTTGGAAGCTCCACATGACTCGGTGAACTGACCTTTTCCAGATGACTGTTGCAGGATGCTACGAAGCCACGCCGGGTGAGAACCCACCCAAAGCGTGTGATCGCCTCACGTCACAGCCTGGCTGAGCGCAGAGCGCATGCACCATGGTCTCCGGTTCCACAGCAGCTCACCTTGAGGAAACCGTCACTTACCACGTGTTGCATAACCCCAAGAAAGACGACGCGTAATGATCCAAAAAGGCTGGTAAATAATCCTCTGTCCCAACTCAATGTCTGTGTGTGGCCAGGTTTTCTTCTCAATTTCAACCAGAGCAACAGTATCACAGCAGTTCAAATCAGAGAACCCAGTGAAAGGGGTTTGCAAAATGTAAGATAATGCCATTCTTTTTACTAAAAATATTACTAAAATTTTATCCTATATGTTAACACTTAATGGGTTTATTATTGCTGTTTTTAAATGGATCAGAAAAGGATGAAATGGTTGCTTTGCAGCAATGTGGATGGAAGTGGTGCCCATTCTCTTAAGTGGAACAGAAAGACAAACGCTGCATGTTCTTACTCATAAGTGGAGCTGAATCACGTGTGGACACGGAGTGTGGAATGACAGGCCGTAGAGTCCGGGAGGGAGTGGGGGGTTGGGGAGAAAGTACTTAACGGGTACAGCACACCTTATTGGGGTTCCCTAAAAGCCGTGGCTTCACCACTGTGCAATGTATGCCTGTAACAAAATTACACTTGTGCCCCATAAATTTACATAAATCTAAAATGTATAAGTAAATTTTGAAATGTAAACATAAATGAAGCCATAAGTATTTTTAAATGTCTCAGCTCTAATTGCTAATACGGTATACATATATATGTATATATGTGTATATATGCATATATGTATATACATACATATGTATATATTATATACATATGTATACACATACATATGTATTATATATATTTATACATATGTATTTATATATACATATACATGTGTATATATTTATATATACATGTGTTTATACATGTGTATATATACATACGTATGTGTATATTTATATATATATGTTTTTTGTTTTTGTTTTGTTTTGGTTTTTGAGATGGAGTCTCGCTCTGTGGCCCAGGCTGGAGTGCAGTGGTGCAATCTCAGCTCACTGCAAGCTCCGCCTCCCGGGTTCCCGCCATTCTCCTGCCTCAGCCTCCCCAGTAGCTGGGACTACAGGCGCCCGCCACCTCACCCGGCTATTTTTTTGTATTTTCAGTAGAGACGGGGTTTCACCGTGTTAGCCAGGATGGTCTCGATCTCCTGACCTCGTGATCCGCCCGCCTCGGCCTCCTAAAGTGCTGGGATTACAGGCGTGAGCCACCGCGCCCAGCCGCTAATACGGTATATTTTGAAGGTTATAATGCACAAAAACAAAAGCTCTGAGAGTCTTCAGTAATTTTCAAAGTGTAAAAATGTCCCAAGACTAAAACGCTTAAGACCCACCGGCGACTACAGCTTGGCACACGCTGGGGTTTCTGCCCATCTGTTGACACAGCCGAGGCCGCCCTGCGCCCACTCCGAGCTCCCGGGCCCTGCGTGTCTTCCCACGTGGAGGCCGCCGGGGCCCGGGCTGGGGACTCGGCCCCGTCTAGATTCTGTCCCGGCCTCTGGGCATCGCCTCTCGGGAGCCGGACCCCTCGATCGCCCGCGGCCCCTCTCAGCTCCCCCAGCACAGTCCGATCCGCGCGCGGCCCTGTCCAGGCCCTTCGCGATTTGGCCGCTTCTCCCCGCGTCCGGCCGTAGCTGGGAACACAGGGACCGGGGCCCCCGGGAAAGGGAGAGGACGCCCCAGGAATGACGGCGCTGAGCCCCTGCGGCGGGACAGGCTCTGAGCGTTTGTTTCATGGGATTGGAAAGAAAAGAACGTTTGACTTTCCCTGAACACCGGCTGCCTGTGACTCACGGACCTGAGGCCCTGGGAGGAGCCGCGGCCCCCGGATCCCCCGGAGAGGCCTTTCGGGGCCGCGGCCGGCAGCCCCGGCCGCCCCCAGCCCCCGCAACCTCCCCCCGTGGCCCCGAGAAGCCGGAGACCCTCCCCGCGGGACACGCGCCCCCCACTCAGAGCCCCCCAAGCTCCCTGGAGAGGAGGAATCCGCCGTCATCTGGTCCCGGGACCCCGCCCCCCCGGGACCCCGCCCCCCCGGGACCCCGCCCCCCGGGACCCCGCCCTCCCCGGGACCCCGCCCCCCCGGGACCCCGCCCCCCCGGGACCCCGCCCCCCAGGACCCCGCCCCCCCCGGGACCCCGCCCCCCCAGGACCCCGCCCCCCCAGGACCCCGCCCCCCGGGATGCCGCCCTCCCCGGGACCCCGCTGCTGCATCTGCCTCTCCAGGCTCGGCCATTCCCCGGGGGTCCCTTCCCGGTCTGTCCCCCACAGAACGTTCTCCCCCAGGCCAGGCCCAGGCTCCCCACAAGCGCCCCGCGACCCCTGACCCCACGGTCTGCCCTCGCCCGGGGCCGCAGCATGGGGGGCATTGGGGGGTCCTGCGGGGGTTGCTTGGCCGCGCCTGGAATCGGCCTCAAGGTCCCCCTGCGCCTCCCCGGTCGGCCGGACTCATGCGCTCCCCCGGAACCCCCGACCCCGCGCGGACAAGCAGCTTCCCAGAGGCCTCAGGAAGCCCCGCCCGAGGGTGTCAGCTCCAGCTCTGAGCGGGTCCCGCAAACGCCCCAGCGTGTTCCCACCGGTGACCCCGACACCCCAACACCCCAACGCCCCGCACCGCCCTCAGCAGCCGCGCCTTGGCCAGCGGGTGCCCCGGTGCCTGCGGCCTCTGACATAGAAAACGAGGAAGGAGGCGGGCGCGGTGGCTCACGCCTGTCATCCCAGCACTTTCGGAGGCCGAGGCGGACGGATCATTTGAGTTCAGGAGTTCAAGACCAGCCTGGCCAAGATGGTGAAACCCCATCTCTACTAAAAATACGAAAATTAGCCGGGCGTGGTGGCGGATGCCTGTAATCCCAGCTACTCGGGAGCCTGGGTTGAGGAGCCTCCCGGGCAGGTGCTTCCCCCAGCGCTCCGGGCCACGGGCCTGCCCGCCTGACGGGGACTCAGTGAAAAACAGCTGCGAACACGAGGCCTAGAACCAGCTGCACAGCGACGCCGTCGACACTCGAACCAACGCAAAGGGACTGGCAGCTGCCCTAGCGCCAACTCCAGCCGGCCTCGCTCATCACGCACTCCTGGGGGGGTCCTGCCACGTCTCTTTACATGCTAACAGGATGACAGCAGACATTGTGTGAAATCAGTCAGTCTGAGCACACTGTTTACATGCTAACAGGATGACAGCAGACATTGTGTGAAATCAGTCAGTGTGAGCACACTGTTTACATGCTAACAGGATCACAGCAGACATTGTGTGAAATCAGTGTGAGCACACTGTTTACATGCTAACAGGACGACAGCAGACACTGTGTGAAATCAGTCAGTGTGAGCACACTGTTTACATGCTAACAGGACGACAGCAGACACTGTGTGAAATCAGTCAGTGTGAGCACACTGTTTACATGCTAACAGGACGACAGCAGACACTGTGTGAAATCAGTCAGTGTGAGCACACTGTTTACACGCTAACAGGATGACAGCAGACACTGTGTGAAATCAGTCAGTGTGAGCACACTGTTTACACGCTAACAGGATGACAGCAGACACTGTGTGAAATCAGTCAGTGTGAGCACACTGTTTACATGCTAACAGGACGACAGCAGACACTGTGTGAAATCAGTCAGTGTGAGCACACTGTTTACGTGCTAACAGGACCACAGCAGACACTGTGTGAAATCAGTCAGTGTGAGCACACTGTTTACGTGCTAACAGGACCACAGCAGACACTGTGTGAAATCAGTCAGTGTGAGCACACTGTTTACACGCTAACAGGATGACAGCAGACACTGTGTGAAATCAGTCAGTGTGAGCACACTGTTTACATGCTAACAGGACCACAGCAGACACTGTGTGAAATCAGTCAGTGTGAGCACACTGTTTACATGCTAACAGGATGACAGCAGACACTGTGTGAAATCAGTCAGTGCGAGCACACTGTTTACATGCTAACAGGATGACAGCAGACACTGTGTGAAAATCAGTCAGTGCGAGCACACTGTTTACATGCTAACAGGAGGACAGCAGACACTGTGTGAAATCAGTCAGTGTGAGCACACTGTTTACATGCTAACAGGACGACAGCAGACATTGTGTGAAATCAGTCAGTGTGAGCACACTGTTTACATGCTAACAGGACCACAGCAGACACTGTGTGAAATCAGTCAGTGTGAGCACACTGTTTACATGCTAACAGGACGACAGCAGACATTGTGTGAAATCAGTCAGTGTGAGCACACTGTTTACATGCTAACAGGATGACAGCAGACATTGTGTGAAATCAGTCAGTGTGAGCACACTGTTTACATGCTAACAGGATGACAGCAGACACTGTGTGAAATCAGTCAGTGTGAGCACACTGTTTACATGCTAACAGGACCACAGCAGACACTGTGTGAAATCAGTCAGTGTGAGCACACTGTTTACATGCTAACAGGACCACAGCAGACACTGTGTGAAATCAGTCAGTGTGAGCACACTGTTTACATGCTAACAGGACGACAGCAGACACTGTGTGAAATCAGTCAGTGTGAGCACACTGTTTACATGCTAACAGGACGACAGCAGACACTGTGTGAAATCAGTCAGTGTGAGCACACTGTTTACATGCTAACAGGACGACAGCAGACACTGTGTGAAATCAGTCAGTGCGAGCACACTGTTTACATGCTAACAGGATGACAGCAGACACTGTGTGAAATCAGTCAGTGCGAGCACACTGTTTACATGCTAACAGGATGACAGCAGACACTGTGTGAAATCAGTCAGTGTGAGCACACTGTTTACACGCTAACAGGACGACAGCAGACACTGTGTGAAATCAGTCAGTGCGAGCACACTGTTTACGTGCTAACAGGACCACAGCAGACACTGTGTGAAATCAGTCAGTGCGAGCACACTGTTTACATGCTAACAGGACGACAGCAGACACTGTGTGAAATCAGTCAGTGTGAGCACACTGTTTACACGCTAACAGGATGACAGCAGACACTGTGTGAAATCAGTCAGTGTGAGCACACTGTTTACACGCTAACAGGATGACAGCAGACACTGTGTGAAATCAGTCAGTGTGAGCACACTGTTTACATGCTAACAGGACGACAGCAGACACTGTGTGAAATCAGTCAGTGTGAGCACACTGTTTACGTGCTAACAGGACCACAGCAGACACTGTGTGAAATCAGTCAGTGTGAGCACACTGTTTACGTGCTAACAGGACCACAGCAGACACTGTGTGAAATCAGTCAGTGTGAGCACACTGTTTACACGCTAACAGGATGACAGCAGACACTGTGTGAAATCAGTCAGTGTGAGCACACTGTTTACGTGCTAACAGGACCACAGCAGACACTGTGTGAAATCAGTCAGTGTGAGCACACTGTTTACATGCTAACAGGATGACAGCAGACACTGTGTGAAATCAGTCAGTGCGAGCACACTGTTTACATGCTAACAGGATGACAGCAGACACTGTGTGAAATCAGTCAGTGCGAGCACACTGTTTACATGCTAACAGGACCACAGCAGACACTGTGTGAAATCAGTCAGTGCTAGCACACTGTTTTACATGCTAACAGGATGACAGCAGACACTGTGTGAAATCAGTCAGTGCGAGCACACTGTTTACATGCTAACAGGATGACAGCAGACACTGTGTGAAATCAGTCAGTGCGAGCACACTGTTTACATGCTAACAGGATGACAGCAGACACTGTGTGAAATCAGTCAGTGCGAGCACACTGTTTACATGCTAACAGGATGACAGCACTGTGTGAAATCAGTCAGTGTGAGCACACTGTTTACATGCTAACAGGATGACAGCAGACACTGTGTGAAATCAGTCAGTGTGAGCACACTGTTTACATGCTAACAGGATGACAGCAGACACTGTGTGAAATCAGTCAGTGTGAGCACACTGTTTACACGCTAACAGGACCACAGCAGACACTGTGTGAAATCAGTCAGTGTGAGCACACTGTTTACATGCTAACAGGACCACAGCAGACACTGTGTGAAATCAGTCAGTGTGAGCACACTGTTTACATGCTAACAGGACGACAGCAGACACTGTGTGAAATCAGTCAGTGCGAGCACACTGTTTACATGCTAACAGGATGACAGCAGACACTGTGTGAAATCAGTCAGTGCGAGCACACTGTTTACATGCTAACAGGATGACAGCAGACACTGTGTGAAATCAGTCAGTGCGAGCACACTGTTTACGTGCTAACAGGACCACAGCAGACACTGTGTGAAATCAGTCAGTGTGAGCACACTGTTTACACGCTAACAGGACCACAGCAGACACTGTGTGAAATCAGTCAGTGTGAGCACACTGTTTACATGCTAACAGGACCACAGCAGACACTGTGTGAAATCAGTCAGTGTGAGCACACTGTTTACATGCTAACAGGACGACAGCAGACACTGTGTGAAATCAGTCAGTGTGAGCACACTGTTTACGTGCTAACAGGACCACAGCAGACACTGTGTGAAATCAGTCCGTGTGAGCACACTGTTTACATGCTAACAGGACGACAGCAGACACTGTGTGAAATCAGTCAGTGTGAGCACACTGTTTACACGCTAACAGGACCACAGCAGACACTGTGTGAAATCAGTCCGTGTGAGCACACTGTTTACACGCTAACAGGATGACAGCAGACACTGTGTGAAATCAGTCAGTGTGAGCACACTGTTTACACGCTAACAGGATCACAGCAGACACTGTGTGAAATCAGTCAGTGTGAGCACACTGTTTACATGCTAACAGGATGACAGCAGACACTGTGTGAAATCAGTCAGTGCGAGCACACTGTTTACATGCTAACAGGATGACAGCAGACACTGTGTGAAATCAGTCAGTGCGAGCACACTGTTTACACGCTAACAGGATGACAGCAGACACTGTGTGAAATCAGTCAGTGTGAGCACACTGTTTACATGCTAACAGGATGACAGCAGACACTGTGTGAAATCAGTCAGTGTGAGCACACTGTTTACATGCTAACAGGATGACAGCAGACAGTGTGTGAAATCAGTCAGTGTGAGCACACTGTTTACATGCTATCAGGATCACAGCAGACACTGTGTGAAATCAGTCAGTGTGAGCACACTGTTTACGTGCTAACAGGACCACAGCAGACATTGTGTGAAATCAGTCAGTGTGAGCACACCGTTTACACGCTAACAGGATGACAGCAGACATTGTGTGAAATCAGTGTGAGCACACTGTTTACATGCTAACAGGATCACAGCAGACACTGTGTGAAATCAGTCAGTGTGAGCACACTGTTTACATGCTAACAGGACCACAGCAGACACTGTGTGAAATCAGTCAGTGTGAGCACACTGTTTACATGCTAACAGGATGACAGCACTGTGTGAAATCAGTCAGTGTGAGCACACTGTTTACACGCTAACAGGATGACAGCAGACACTGTGTGAAATCAGTCAGTGCGAGCACACTGTTTACATGCTAACAGGATCACAGCAGACACTGTGTGAAATCAGTCAGTGTGAGCACACTGTTTACATGCTAACAGGACGACAGCAGACACTGTGTGAAATCAGTCAGTGTGAGCACACTGTTTACATGCTAACAGGACCACAGCAGACATTGTGTGAAATCAGTCAGTGTGAGCACACTGTTTACATGCTAACAGGACGACAGCAGACACTGTGTGAAATCAGTCAGTGTGAGCACACTGTTTACACGCTAACAGGACCACAGCAGACACTGTGTGAAATCAGTCAGTGTGAGCACACTGTTTACATGCTAACAGGATGACAGCAGACATTGTGTGAAATCAGTCAGTGTGAGCACACTGTTTACATGCTAACAGGATGACAGCAGACATTGTGTGAAATCAGTCAGTGTGAGCACACTGTTTACACGCTAACAGGACGACAGCAGACACTGTGTGAAATCAGTCAGTGTGAGCACACTGTTTACACGCTAACAGGATGACAGCAGACACTGTGTGAAATCAGTCATTGTGAGCACACTGTTTACACGCTAACAGGATCACAGCAGACACTGTGTGAAATCAGTGTGAGCACACTGTTTACATGCTAACAGGATGACAGCAGACACTGTGTGAAATCAGTCACTGTGAGCACACTGTTTACATGCTAACAGGATGACAGCAGACACTGTGTGAAATCAGTCAGTGTGAGCACACTGTTTACACGCTAACAGGATGACAGACACTGTGTGAAATCAGTCAGTGCGAGCACACTGTTTACATGCTAACAGGATCACAGCAGACACTGTGTGAAATCAGTCAGTGTGAGCACACTGTTTACACGCTAACAGGACGACAGCAGACACTGTGTGAAATCAGTCAGTGTGAGCACACTGTTTACGTGCTAACAGGACCACAGCAGACACTGTGTGAAATCAGTCCGTGTGAGCACACTGTTTACACGCTAACAGGATGACAGCAGACACTGTGTGAAATCAGTCCGTGTGAGCACACTGTTTACATGTTAACAGGATGACAGCAGACATTGTGTGAAATCAGTCAGTGTGAGCCCACTGTTTACACGCTAACAGGATGACAGCAGACATTGTGTGAAATCAGTCAGTGTGAGCACACTGTTTACACGCTAACAGGATCACAGCAGACACTGTGTGAAATCAGTCAGTGCGAGCACACTGTTTACATGCTAACAGGACGACAGCAGACACTGTGTGAAATCAGTCAGTGTGAGCACACTGTTTACATGCTAACAGGATGACAGCAGACACTGTGTGAAATCAGTCCGTGTGAGCACACTGTTTACATGCTAACAGGATGACAGCAGACACTGTGTGAAATCAGTCAGTGTGAGCACACTGTTTACATGCTAACAGGACGACAGCAGACACTGTGTGAAATCAGTCAGTGTGAGCACACTGTTTACATGCTAACAGGATGACAGCAGACACTGTGTGAAATCAGTCCGTGTGAGCACACTGTTTACATGCTAACAGGATGACAGCAGACACTGTGTGAAATCAGTCAGTGTGAGCACACTGTTTACACGCTAACAGGACCACAGCAGACATTGTGTGAAATCAGTCAGTGTGAGCACACTGTTTACATGCTAACAGGATGACAGCAGACACTGTGTGAAATCAGTCACTGTGAGCACACTGTTTACATGCTAACAGGATGACAGCAGACACTGTGTGAAATCAGTCAGTGTGAGCACACTGTTTACACGCTAACAGGATGACAGACACTGTGTGAAATCAGTCAGTGCGAGCACACTGTTTACATGCTAACAGGATCACAGCAGACACTGTGTGAAATCAGTCAGTGTGAGCACACTGTTTACACGCTAACAGGACGACAGCAGACACTGTGTGAAATCAGTCAGTGTGAGCACACTGTTTACGTGCTAACAGGACCACAGCAGACACTGTGTGAAATCAGTCCGTGTAGGCACACTGTTTACACGCTAACAGGATGACAGCAGACACTGTGTGAAATCAGTCCGTGTGAGCACACTGTTTACATGTTAACAGGATGACAGCAGACATTGTGTGAAATCAGTCAGTGTGAGCCCACTGTTTACACGCTAACAGGATGACAGCAGACATTGTGTGAAATCAGTCAGTGTGAGCACACTGTTTTACACGCTAACAGGATCACAGCAGACACTGTGTGAAATCAGTCAGTGCGAGCACACTGTTTACATGCTAACAGGACGACAGCAGACACTGTGTGAAATCAGTCAGTGTGAGCACACTGTTTACATGCTAACAGGATGACAGCAGACACTGTGTGAAATCAGTCAGTGTGAGCACACTGTTTACATGCTAACAGGATGACAGCAGACACTGTGTGAAATCAGTCAGTGTGAGCACACTGTTTACATGCTAACAGGATGACAGCAGACACTGTGTGAAATCAGTCAGTGTGAGCACACTGTTTACATGCTAACAGGATGACAGCAGACACTGTGTGAAATCAGTCAGTGTGAGCACACTGTTTACATGCTAACAGGATGACAGCAGACACTGTGTGAAATCAGTCAGTGTGAGCACACTGTTTACATGCTAACAGGACGACAGCAGACACTGTGTGAAATCAGTCAGTGTGAGCACACTGTTTACATGCTAACAGGATGACAGCAGACACTGTGTGAAATCAGTCAGTGTGAGCACACTGTTTACATGCTAACAGGATGACAGCAGACACTGTGTGAAATCAGTCAGTGTGAGCACACTGTTTACACGCTAACAGGACGACAGCAGACACTGTGTGAAATCAGTCAGTGTGAGCACACTGTTTACGTGCTAACAGGACGACAGCAGACACTGTGTGAAATCAGTCCGTGTAGGCACACTGTTTACACGCTAACAGGAAGACAGCAGACACTGTGTGAAATCAGTCAGTGTGAGCACACTGTTTACATGCTAACAGGATGACAGCAGACACTGTGTGAAATCAGTCAGTGTGAGCACACTGTTTACATGCTAACAGGATGACAGCAGACACTGTGTGAAATCAGTCAGTGTGAGCACACTGTTTACATGCTAACAGGATGACAGCAGACACTGTGTGAAATCAGTCAGTGTGAGCACACTGTTTACATGCTAACAGGATGACAGCAGACACTGTGTGAAATCAGTCAGTGTGAGCACACTGTTTACATGCTAACAGGATGACAGCAGACACTGTGTGAAATCAGTCAGTGTGAGCACACTGTTTACATGCTAACAGGATGACAGCAGACACTGTGTGAAATCAGTCCGTGTGAGCACACTGTTTACATGCTAACAGGATGACAGCAGACATTGTGTGAAATCAGTCAGTGTGAGCACACTGTTTACATGCTAACAGGATGACAGCAGACACTGTGTGAAATCAGTCCGTGTGAGCACACTGTTTACACGCTAACAGGACGACAGCAGACACTGTGTGAAATCAGTCAGTGTGAGCACACTGTTTACACGCTAACAGGACGACAGCAGACACTGTGTGAAATCAGTCAGTGTGAGCACACTGTTTACACGCCAACAGGATGACAGCAGACACTGTGTGAAATCAGTCAGTGTGAGCACACTGTTTACATGCTAACAGGATGACAGCAGACACTGTGTGAAATCAGTCACTGTGAGCACACTGTTTACATGCTAACAGGATGACAGCAGACACTGTGTGAAATCAGTCAGTGCGAGCACACTGTTTAGAAACACAGATGGAGACAGCTGGAGCGTGTGTGGAGGTGGGCAGGGGGACTGCAGCTTTTCTTACAAGTGTCACAGTCCTATTTAAGCTCGTATGTTATTTTGGTAAACACTTGAAATAACTGTTAGAAAGGAAACCTACAAATCTGAGCACAGCAATCCCGTTAAAACCTTTTGGTCTTTCCCATCGCCGGGACGCCAGGTCCACGCTCCTGCAACCATCACTGCAAGGTCGTCTCTTGCTAAATCCGCGCCCCAAGTGTCCTGAGCCTGCAGCTGGCTCCGCAGTGAGTTGTGATTTTCTCTAAATACACGTACCCTGAACGAGTGAACAATCTGAGAGACGTGGGTACCTTTGCTGAGTACTAAAGCCAAGGTTGATTTGAAAGTTAGGCTGCTACAACCTGGCCAACACGGTGAAACCCCGTCTTTACTAAAAATACAAAAAATTAGCTGGGCGTGGTGGCGGGCACCTGTAGTCCCAGCTACTCGGGAGGCTGAGGCAGGAGAATTGCTTGAACCCGGGAGGCGGAGGTTGCAGTGAGCCGAGACCGCGCCATTGCACTGTAGCCTGGGTGAAAGAGCAAGACTCCGTCTCAAAAACAAAAAAATAATAACGAAAAGAAAAAAAAAAAAAGAAAGTTAGGCTCATTGATTCCCATCAGCCTTTGACAGTGGAAGGGAAGTCATTAAGGGCTGACTGGAGAAGAGTGATTTCCTGAATGGGTTGAAATAAATAATTTATTGCTGACTCTTGTCAACATCAGCCAGTCCTGCTCACCAGGCCCATCCCCTCCTCTGAGGGCAAATTCCAGTGGGGACTTAGGATGGCGGCACCGGGGAGACCAGGACACCGGGGACATCAGTTCTGCAGGCACAGCACAGCTGGAAGCACAGGGCTGGCCTCCCCGGCTGACCTCTGATCCCGGGGTCATCTGAGGCCCGTGTCCACCCCACCATCCTGCTGCCACACACAGGGGTCAAGCGTGTTCCTCACAAGTGTGGCCTGGTTTAGGATCATGGTGATAAAGGGCTCCGTGTCACCGAGTGGGAAGGACAGAGGGTAAACCAGTGTTCAGCTCAGTGCCCCCATTAGCCTCCAACGGAGACGTCACGGCGGCACGGGATCCATGTGGATCCATGTCATGTGGAAAATCCTATCTGGAGCAATACAGTGAGTGGGAATGTAACTGGGCACCCCTGCTCCAGCTGCCAGCAAGATCCTGCATACCTAGCAATTGACAAGACCTGCGCCTGCCCTGGAGATGATTTCAGGAGACTTTGCAGGTGCAACTGTATCTATCAGTAGCATGTAATCAGATGAAAAGTCCCAAATCCACCTGTAATTTTCACGAAAATAATAGGCAGGAATGAGAAGCCACAGGATGCCTCACTAGTGGGCTCATGGATCCTCTGCCTGGCTCCCGCAGCCGGCAGGCAAATGCCCTCATGCTGATACTCATTGTTAGTTAAATTTTCATTGCTTTCAGAGCAATTGCTTAGTTTTCATTGCTTAGAGAGGCCCAATTTAAGAAAGTTTCATATCCCCACATCTAAGTGAACAGAACAAAGAAATTGAAGAAATTTTAAATCTCTTTTTGAAAGATACCTCTACATATAAATTTAGACAGACTTTATATTAAGCAAAAGTTGGCAACCAAAATTTGCATTAAAAAAACTTTAAACTTCACAATTTATGTTTAGTATTTACAAGTGAAGAAACTCTGCAACCTATGACCTCACAGCACTCCAGTCACCTAACAAGGCAGAGAAGCAGAGAATAGACTCTCAGTTCTCCTGCACTTGTCCCAGTGTCGTAGCTACAACCGAGAGCCTGAATAGACTGTGGGTTTCCACTCACACATGGCCAGACACCGTCCAAGACTCCGCAGAAACAGGCAAGCCCAGGCTCGTCTACTGCAATGAACCCAGCGTTGGTTTGGCATGAAGACCCCATCCTTTCAATGTAGATTATTAAAGGTCATTTTCTTCTGCTGCAATGAACCCAGCGTTGGTTTGGTGTGAAGACCCCACCCATTCAATGTAATTTATTAAAGGTCATTTTCTTCTACTGCAATGAACCCAGCATTGGTTTGGTGTGAAGACCCCACCCTTTCAATATAATTCATTAAAGGTCATTTTCTTCTACTGCAATGAACCCAGCGTTGGTTTGGTGTGAAGACCCCACCCTTTCAATGTAATTTATTAAAGGTCATTTTCTTCTACTGCAATGAACCCAGCATCGGTTTGGTGTGAAGACCCCACCCTTTCAATGTAAGTTATTAAAAGTCATTTTCTTCAGGGGTCCCTTCCTCCAACTTTAAATCTGGAAAACTAGAAAAGGTAAGACACAGACACCAACACTTTGACAATAGCAAATAGCTCTGGACAGCCTGAGGTCGGACGTAAGGAGGGAGAGGAATTAAAAAAAATAAAAAGGTGAAGCAGAGATGCAGAGAGGTAGAGGCTCCTCCTGCAGACATGGGGCCGAGGTATATACAGTAGGTAACAGAGGGGCTCCTGCAGACGTGGGGCTGAGGTGTATACAGTAGGTAATAGAGAGGCTCCTGCAGATATTGGGCCAAGGTGTATATAGTAGGTAATAGAGGGGCTCCTGCACACACGGGGCCGAGGTGTATACAGTAGGTAATAGAGGGGCTCCTGCAGATGTGGGGCTGAGGTGTATATAGTAGGTAATAGAGGGGCTCCTGCAGACACCGGGCTGAGGTGTATACAGTAGGTAATAGGCTCCTGCAGACACGGGGCTGAGGTATATACAGTAGGTAATAGAGGGGCTCCTGCAGACACGGGGCTGAGGTGTATACAGTAGGTAATAGAGGGGCTCCTGCAGACACGGGACTGAGGTGTATACAGTAGGTAATAGAGGGGCTCCAGCAGACACGGGGCTGAGGTGTATACAGTAGGTAATAGAGGGGCTCCTGCAGACACGGGGCTGAGGTGTATACAGTAGGTAATAGAGGGGCTCCTGCAGACACGGGGCTGAGGTGTATACAGTAGGTAATAGAGGGGCTCCTGCAGACACGGGGCTGAGGTGTATACAGTAGGTAATAGAGGGGCTCCTGCAGACACGGGGCTGAGGTGTATACAGTAGGTAATAGAGGGGCTCCTGCAGACACGGGGCTGAGGTGTATACAGTAGGTAATAGAGAGGCTCCTGCAGACACGGGCTGAGCTGTGTACAGTAGGTAATAGAGAGGCTCCTGCAGACACGGGGCTGAGGTGTGTACAGTAGGTAATAGAGGGGCTCCTGCAGACGTGGGGCCGAGGTGTATACAGTAGGTAATAGGCTCCTGTAGACACGGGGCTGAGGTGTGTACAGTAGGTAATAGAGGGGCCCCTGCAGACATGGGGCTGAGGTGTATACAGTAGGTAATAGGCTCCTGCAGACACTGGGCCAAGGTGTATACAGTAGGTAATAGAGGGGCTCCTGCAGACACGGGGCCAAGATGTATGCAGTAGGTAATAGGCTCCTGCAGACACAGGGCCGAGGTGTATACAGTAGGAAGCAGGAACTGCAGGACACCCTGGGGCTGATGACAGTCATTGGGCCACATTTCAGGGCCAGATTTTCTGGGATTTTTGGGGAGGATGAGCTACATGCCTGGCTTTATGGATTTAGTCCATGGAATTTGCAACATGATTTTCCACAAGTCATTGGCCCTGCCGTTTAGACGGAAGGTATTGATAAGTAATACATTATTTATAAGCTCCGCTCAAAGGTATTTTCACATCTTTCTAGTCCTGGTGGAGACATTGATTTTCCCTGAATATATGAACAGTGCTTAGATTTAACCCCGCTCCACGCTTTGTGCCCTGGTGAAGCTGGCCGCTGCCACAGCTCCAGGGTGTCACACTGCACATGGTCTTCCCCACCTTCAATGGTCACTTGGGGCTGGAGATGTGGCCTAACACTAGCCCAGTCTGACTCGCCTCCAGGCTCTGGCTTCTGGCACCTGGACAAGGAGACCCTCACTTTCATGGTCCCAAGGCACTGTCAGAAACCACTTTGTGGTGTCAGGAAGAACCAGTCTCAAGATAATGCAGAACAGGGAGATTAAAACAAGACCACGTGGTTGGTGACATCACTGAGCTGCTGGGTCAAACCATCGCTGAAGCCTTCTCTTCTGGATGTCAGCTACAGAAGCCAATAGACCCCCTTTGTTACATTATTATTTAAGTGAGTTTGAATTGTCAGCAATCTGACTGATACAGCTCAGTGAAAGTTGAAAGTTATAGTGTAATTTCCTAACACCTTGAAAATCCTGCCTAGGCTAAAGGAAGCACTGAATGGTGTCTTCTAAGGGAAGTCCTGCTGTATGGCTTGTAAAGATTGGCTATTCGCAGGTTCCTGCGAGGAGGAATTTCACTGACACCACTGTTGCGGCACTTATTTTTCTGTGCATAAAGACTACTAATTTAGGACTTTATATCCACCACAGAAAAGTCAATTTTATGAGACTGGTTCCTTTTTAAAGCCTACCTCTCTGCAGTAAGAGACTATTTAATAATGACAACAATATGCTTGTGAGAGCAAACGAGGGTTGCAGCTCCAATTCAAGAGGCCAACCATGGCTAGTCTTGAAGATTTTCACTCATTAGCTTTTTAAGGAGCTGTTAACTGCAAACGTGGGACTCAGAGCTTCGGGGACTTTCCGTGTTGAGTGTTCCGCCAGCAGTGCTTGCATGTCTCAGCAGCACAGAGCTATTTCTGGGGAAAGCAGAAATAATAAACTCACTGAAAATACCCATGATTGATCCAAGCTTCCTCTTTCAAAGAAAAACCGGAAGTTCCTCCTTCCGTATTCTTGTGGAAAGCTTTGCAGGTGCAGGGCCATGCGGCCGGGGAGACTGGGGAGCAGCCCTCCTGCCGCTGACGGGTCAGGCCGGCTCCGTGAGTGATTAATTCCCAGGTCACATTTCTGTCCACAGCTGGGAGACGATGATTAAAACTTGAGTGTGTTTATTCCTTTGCATTGGAACTTGAAAACATCAATTTTTATTTCTTGGATAAGTAATAAGAAAAGTAAAACAAGATGAAAGAAAGGAGAGTTTGTGCTACGGACACAGTCAAAGACGTAGAAAGGCACAGTCCTGGAAGGAGTGTGGGAGCAGCTTGAGAGCAGATGGACGGAAAGAGCCACAGTGGAGGCAGCCCAGAGACACCTGGAGATTAGGGGCACGTGGCCCAGGCCACATTTCAAACCACGGGCAAGAGAATGGCTGATTTGATCCCTGGAATAGAAACCATTTTGGAAAGTTAATTTGGAAGCCTGTAAGATGCAAATTCCAAGCAGATTAAAGTTTGTAGTGATGGGGTTTTCTGTAGACAGACTTTTTCTAGATGTCCAAAGAGCTGATCGGGCACGGGGCTCCTGATCCGCCTGCCGGGCTCCACGGGAAGAGCCTCAAGGTTCCATTCGGTGCTGAGGCCGAGCCACACTTGCCTCTGGAGGGGCTCATCGCCGGCTGCATCTGCAGGCTGCTCTTGCAACGCCCTCACTGCAAAATGCAAAGAAGATCCACTCCATGTCCTGTCCAGCTGCCTCCGTGTCTAGAAAGGGGCCTGTCCACTTCATGTCTGAGTGACAGGGGCCTGCCCCTGACAACACAGCGGCCCGCATGCCACTGAGGAAAAGCTTCAGCGAGAACAGAGACACGTACAGGGTGCTGCCCAGAGGGGAACTCGGCTCCTGCAGGAAGGGCTGGTGGGACGGCTGCCGGGGCGTTTTGGAACATAAGCCACTCTGCGTGCGTCCCACACAAGCAATTTCTGCTGCAGCAAAGCACAGCCCTTCTCTAAGCAGGGCAACGCCGGCCACCCTCCTCCCTGCCACTCAGGCCCCGGCTCTCAGCCCAGCCACACACGCTGCAAACCCGTGGATGACATTTCCCCTTGCTTCAAACCTCCATCCCACTTTCTGGTTTTATTTTATTTTATGCATTTTATTCTATGTGATCTATTTGCAATCTGTTCTGGAACTAGGCCAGATTTTAATCAATTAACAAATCGGCTGCTTTAGAGTCTGGCAACCCCAACTTACCAGAGTCATTTCCAGGTGGATAAAGCCCCCAGGTACAGGGATTTGGGGAGAGATTTTGCAACGTTCTGTAGAAGTAATGTTTTTTACACTAACTTGTTAATTGCAGAAGATCAGCACAGAATCTGAAACAGATCAATAGGAATCAGAGAACGCCCACGCTGCAGCTGCTGCCCCCAGCCCACGCCACTGCCGTGGGGCAGAGCCGCTGTCCGAGCGTTCAGTCTAACCGATCTCGCTTCCTCCAGAGCTCTCCACCCACCTCCAGAATCTGCACCGAGAGCAGCCTGTGTTTAAGGACTCTGATGGACAGACGGCGGAGTGGACGTCCCACCCTCACGAGGGAGGCCGCCGGACACATCACCGGGCCACTGCGCCCAGCTGGCCCTGCAGAGGCGCTGCAGGAACTCAGGCACACTTGATTTGAGAGCAGCAAGCACAGAGACGCCCGTTTGTCACATCCAAATAAGCAGGTGTCAGTCTTCCTGCCCGACTCCCAAATCAGGGCCAGAGCCTGCTCTCTTCAGCTTGAAGTGAGTCAGCCCGGGGCTAGCGAGCAAGCTGGGGTTCAAGTCAGGTAACACTGGCCTGGCCCGCCGAGGAGGAAGGGCTCACGCTTCAGGAGCAGAGGGGCCCGACCAGTCACTCCCCAGGAACAGGGCTGCAGGCGAGGAGGGGGCAGAGTGGGGAGAAGAAGCACAGGCGAGCCCCGAGCCAGGTCCACGAGGGGAGGCACAGCTCCCCCAGGTTTCTACACGGCCACCCGGTGTCGAAAGGGCTGGGGAACCAACGTCTACAGGGATGGCTCCCATGGGCAAGCCCCCAGCCTCAAGAGTGGGCTGCGAGGTGACATGGACAGGGCTGCGAGCTGGTACGGGCTGCGTCCACCACTCTGCTGGGGTGGAGGAAGGTCGATCAGGATCTGGAATTCTCACAGGTGAGGCACAGGCATTGAGCGCATATCTGCCTGCTCCTGGAGAACGTGGTTGGAGGCCGAGGGCGTCCTGACTGTAGTGGGGCCGCGCTGTGTCTTCCCTGCACGCTCACCGTGTCTCAGACCGTGGCGCTCCCTGCAATGAGTCCTGCCCGAGACTCAGGCGGGGCGCTTTCATGGGGCCTGATATGGGGCTCTGTGATTCCAAGGGCAGCACGGCTGGGTGGAAAATCGCAGTGAGAAGGTCATCAAGGTGTTTTCCACGCTAGAAGCACCCTCAACTCAAGTTAAACACACAAATCCACCACCCTGTCTCCAACAGCCTGGAGAGCAACTGGGCTCCACTGACTTTAGTGCCACTGGAGGGCTTGTGTAGATGAACCCACATGGGCAGAGCTGCCCAGCGCCCGCCAGGGGTCCTTGCTGACAGGACTCCTGGGTGTTGTGGGGGTGAAAGGCACGAGTAAGTGTGTCTGAAGCAGTAGGGAAGGCGTCACAGAAGAGGTGACAGCCCCGGGGACACTTCAGGCCCAGGGAACCTGGGGAGGCAAGGGAGGAGGCATTTGGGCCAAGGGAACGTTCCAGAACCCGGTGAGGATGAGGGCAGACCCTGTTGTTTTCATCCGTCGTCTGGGTCAGGTGTTGTAAAGACACTCTTAGAACCAGCTCTGTTGGTTACGACGCGGAGAAAACACGGTTACTTCTGTTCTCTCCTGAGCTTCAAGTACAGTAAAGAGATTTTGTAAAACAAAAAGCAGCTCACACAAGGGGAACGAGGTGGAGACGCCTGCAAAGTGGAGGCACCTGGGGCCAGCATCTCTGTGGACCCCAGAAACGACTCTGACACAGCAGTGGGGACAGGGCACCCTGATTTAGATCCCGAACCCCAAAGCCCCCAGGACTGCGGGCCGAGGATGATGCCGGGGGGAGGGCTGGAGGTGGAGAGGGGCCTGCGCAGGCTAAGGACCCTTCCCTGCCCCTGCCTCCTGGGGCCACCTCCCCTTCCTGTCTCGTCTCTACAGAGACTGAAGCGACCCCTGGGCCTGGGCAGCCATGAGCTCTGGAGGGAGTCCCTCTGCCCCAACGCCAGGCCAGCCTCCTTCCCCGCGTGCTCCCAAGCAGGACAGCCTCTCCTCCAGGGAATCCGACCTGCTGAAAAGGAAGCCCCAGAATACAAGCAGACACACAGATCTGTCGAAACACCCGGGCAAACTCTCCAGCGTGAAATAAACACAAAGCAAAATCATGTGGAAGTGAACGGAAGCCGTACGGGGAGAAGAGCGTAGCGTCGCAGACGGTCACCCTGGAGGGGCATCACCATCATGAGCTGTGGACAGAACCCACACTCTCCACAGGGAGCACAGACAGACCCACGATCCCCACAACGGAACCATCACAGAAAAGAAGGAAATTGGCAAAAGGGCCGAGGTGTGAAGGTGCCGGGAATTGGAGCCTGAAGACAAAGATCAAAGCTGGGATGGAAGGAGAGGCTGGAGGACCAGTCGAGGCCACCTTGCAGGGATCGGCATTCCGGAGTGGGGAGCAGATACGACAGAAAGGGAGAAACCACAACCAGCAGCACAAGGACAGCCTTGAGGGATGAAGGACACAGGTCCTCGCTCAGGAAGAACTGGTGGCCACATGGCACGGGGGACCACACCCGGGCAGCAACTCCGTAGAAGGGGAGGGTCCTGCACCTTCCAGAGACCAAGAGGGGCCCAGAGAACAGTGTCCGGCATTTCAAGGGCACCTCGGGGAGCCCAGACGAGGGCATGATCCCAGCCTCCCGGACACGTCGCCCCCACCAGACTGACCATCGAGTGCAGGGAAGCCCCAGGCAGGGGCCACAACAGAGGGACCCCCAGAGCAAGGGGCCTGTCAGCATCACTCCTGTGGGACAGGATCCGGACACCTCTCCAGAACAAAGTGAGTTAGTCGTGGGAGAGACATCACCAGGAAGCCAAAATTAACAAGCGCCCAAGATAAGACAACTGAAGAGGAGACTGAGACACTTGGGGTTCCATTGGTATATACACAGAAAATAAAGTTGATGGAAAAAGCTAATTATTAATTTCAGGAAAACAGAAAACTGCAAGAAAAGCCATCATCGTTTGTGACGGGCTCAGTGGTGCTGCTGTGTGTGTTCATCGCAGTCCTGGCCGATCAATATTTGCTCTCCACATTGTCAGTGGAAAGGTGGCGGGGACGGGAGGCGTGGGAAGGGAGCTGATCTATTGTGGGAGGTGACAGACAATGCCCCAGATTAACCTGCCCAGAGGTAGCAATAGCAGCTAGTTACACAGAGACTGGAGGTGAAAGCTGAGAAGATCAGTTTAGAAATTTGGGAATGAATGGTCTGGAAAGATGAAAAGTGCAGTACAGGGTTAAGGACTGCTGTTTGCAGAACAAGCCTTAATAAAAATAAAAATAAACACATCCAAGTACAAACTGACCCTGAAAAGGACCAGCCTCCAACAGAGAAAGACGGGTTTCCTGATGGCAGCAGCCCCCGAGGCGAGAGTCCCAGCAAGGGCTATTGTTCGTTGTTCGGGAAACTTCGCCCGAAATTGGTACCCCCATTATTATTTTTGCATGTGTCTCCTAGGGAAGAGAAGAGGCTGGTTGGGTTGTAGAAACCCAGTCTATGAATTTCAAGTCTTCATCACCCCTGAGGTCTTTTCAGGAAGAGCACCATGTTGGTGATGCTGCGTCTCTGAGAGCCTCCTCCTGCTATTGGCGCCGTGTTAGGGAGCCGGAAGGAGGCTGAGAGTTTCTGAAAATGAAACCAGAATGCTGTCCAGGCTGACGCGGGCACCTGGTGAGCAGAGGGACCGTCCATGAATCTGCACCCCACATGAGACGCACGTGCAAACTGGAACTAATGCCTGCTCACAGCCTAATTACACTCGCGGCGTCAGCGTTCTGGGCAGGCCGTTCACACTGAAACTCGGTCGGCACTGGCGCTGGGGCGGATCCTGGCCATCGACCACTCCATTCTACAGCGGCTCCTTCAGTGAGTCGCAAAAACACTTGCTGATTCTGGGCCTCAATTTCCCCTTGTGCAAGGCGAGGCCAGTGCCTTAGCCTCACAGAAAATAAAAAGTGTCCCAGAAGCAGAGGGAAGTGTGGTTTAAAACCCATCAAAACCACAGCGAGGGCCTGAGATCCTGACTCCCGACGGCACCACAGCCTCACAGTTCTGGCTGTGAGTCACAGACCTTATTCCAGGCAAGCTGGGAACTCCAGCCGGGTCTGGGTTATTATTTCTTGCCAGTGATTTTTCAGAGAGGTTTGTATCCGCGGGGAACCATCAGTCACGTAGTTGCTGTGTGCGTGTGTGTGTACCTGCGTGCGTGTCTGTGCCTGTGTGTGTGCCCTGTGCATGTGTGTGCTTGTGTGTGTGTCTGCACCTGTGCTCAGTGCCTGCGGTGCAATGAATGATGGCGGTGGGGCTGCGTGTGTGTCTGTGTGTGTGTCCGTGCATGTGTGTGTGTGCGTCTGCACCTGTGCTCGGTGGGATGAACGATGGAGGTGGGGCTGCGCGTGTGCGTGTGTGTCTGTGTGTGTGCGTGTGTGTCTGTATGTGTGTGTGCGTGTGCGTCTGCACCTGTGCTCGGTGGGATGAATGATGGTGGTGGGGCTGCATCTGTGCGTGTCTGTATGTGTGTGTGTGTGTGCGTCTGCACCTGTGCTCGGTGCCTGCGGTGCAATGAATGATGGCAGTGGGGCTGTGTGTGTGCGTGTGTGTCTGTATGTGTGTGGGTGGGTCTGCACCTGTGCTCGGTGGGATGAACGATGGTGGTGGGGCTGCGTGTGTGTGTGTGTGTGTGTCTGTATGTGTGTGCGTGTCTGTATGTGTGTGCGTGTGTCTGTGTGTGTGCGTGTGTGTATGTGTGTGTGCGTGTGCATCCGCACCTGTGCTCGGTGGGATGAATGATGGTGGTGGGGCTGCGTGTCCTCCTACCATTGGCTCCGATGGTTGGAGCCAATCTGGCCAGGCCGGTCCATGCATTCTTTCTTTTAAGGATTCCCTTAGGTAAAGCCTCTGCTTGTGAGTTTTCATGCAAGACAACGTTGAGTTAAAGCCATTTTAGGAAAAAAAAGAAAAAACTTGTTTTGAATGATGTCCATGCCCTTCAAAACTGAACACAAAATTAAGAAATAACTGAGTACCCAGAATGGCAGCCTGTCTCAGAGTGGTAATAAGGTCAACTGCAAACCACACGGCCTGGTGCCCTACATGCACTGGGCGGCCGAGCCCTGCTCCAGGGCCTGTAGGGCCTGGGAGGTGTCGGATGTGGCTTGCTGGCTGCAGGGCCTGGTCTGTGGCTGAGAGACCGTGGCGGTCTGTGGACAGGTGAGTGCTGGGCCCACAGGATGTAGACTGTGAGGCTGGCGAGGTGAGCCAAGACCTCTTATCTCCCATCGGGCCTTCTGTTCCCCTCTCAGGAAGCCCGTTGGTGGCCAGCTGAATGTTTAAACCCAAGTGCTGACCAAGAAAAAGTCAAGGGGAAACCTAGGGGCTCCCTGAGATGAGTCTCGAAGCTGGAAAGCCACCCAGACACGCAGGGAGGTTCAGGAGTCTTCATACCCAACCAAAAGCTCTTCCTCAGGTCTGTGCTAAAATGTGGTTTTCCCCTCAGAAAAATAAGCCATGCTCTTATACAAATGTGGAAAGTATGACAAAATAAAAGAAAGAAACTAGAAGTCATTCACAGCATCACTACCAGAGGTAACTCATGTTACCATTTTTGTGGATTTCCTTCCACGTGTGGGCATGACTTTGTGTGTGTGTGTGTGGGTGAGTGTGTGTATGTACACAGGGAGACAGGATAAAGTTGTGTTGAAAACTACTAAAGTCAGGCTGCTTGGGTCGGAATCTGGCCACCAAATAGCAGAGAGTTGAGCAAGTGAGTGAACCTCTCCACGTGTGTCACGTAGAGGTGAGGGCTACCCCGTGGCTGGTTGTGAAATCCTACATGACAAGCCTACCCAGGGCTTACACGGATGCTTAACAAAGTGTCAGCTCTTAGTATTATAGTGATTTTGCACGAATAATCACACCTGCTATATGTACAGTTGTATGTCAGCCCCTTCACTTAAAGTCACAGTGTGCACCCCATGGCACTGCACATTCTTTGAAAATACGACTTTCAAGGGCTGGTGCTTCTGTGACGTGGCTCGGCTACCGTCCGGGGGCTCTTCCCTCTTGTTGGATGCCTATGGCACTTGTGATGATCGTAACACTGCAGTGAAAGCCTCACTTGTGAGCCTCTGTCATTGTCTCTGATCATCCCTTAGAAGGAGCCCTAGGATGGCAGCAGGATGCAGTGGTTAGCATTGGGATTCACGCTGCCCCGTGGCCTGGCCGAGACGCACCCACGAGGATCCCTCGCCCGTGGCCGCCCTCCTCACCCAGCACTCCAGGCAAGAACGGGACTTCACTGCTGCTGTCATCTGCAGCTCTGGGATTATTGTTGAAGTGGAGCATTTAGGGCTCTTCTAAATAAAGTTTCAAGTTCTATTTTTGTCCATTTTTATTAATAAGATTGTCAGTCTTTCCTGACTGATATATGAATACTAGTAAACTTTGATTTAATATATTTTATAATATTTTTTGCAGGTTTTTATTGCAGTTTTGAAATTTGTTTATGCTGTTCTCTGACTTCTTGCCTTTGCTTTGTTTTTTTCTTTCTTTTTCCATGTTTAGAAAGCTTTTCTCCATCCCCAGGAAAGAAAAAGCATTCATTTTAATTTCCTCTAGTTGTTTTATAATTCAATTCAAAATTTTTAACTTTTAATTCATCTGTAATACATTTGGGTACAGGTCTTAAATTATATAAGTTAATTTAAACAACTCTTCTCTGATTTATTTTGTTGGTGGTGGTGGTGATGGTGGTGGTGACGGTGATGATGGTGGTGATGGTGGTGACGATGGTGGTGATGGTGTTGACAGTGGTGGTGACGGTGATGATGGTGGTGATGGTGGTGGTGATAATGGTGGTGGTGATGGTGGTGATGGCAGTGGTGATGGTGGTTGTGATGGTGATGATGGTGGTGATGATGGCGGTGGTGGTGATGGTGCTGCTGATGGTGGTGGTGGTGATGGTGGTGGTGGTGATGACGGTGGTGATGGTGGTGGTGGTGGTGATGATGGTGCTGATGATGGTGCTGATGATGGTGATGGTGACGGTGATGATGGTGGTGGTGATGATGGTGGTGGTGATGGTGGTGATGATGGCAGTGGTGGTGGTGGTGATGGTGGTGATGGTGGTGGTGATGGTGGTGGTGACGGTGATGATGGTGGTGATGGTGATGATGGTGGTGATGGTGGTGGTGATAATGGTGGTGGTGATGGTGGTGATGGTGGTGGTGATGGTGATGATGGTGGTGATGGTGGTGGTGGTGATAGTGATGAGAATGGTGATGATTGTGGTGATAGTGATGATGATGTGGTGGTGGTGGTGATGGTGATGGTGGTGGTGATAGTTATACTGATGATAATGGTGGTGATGATGGTGATAGTGGTGGTGAACTGTGGCCTCACATCCCCTGGCCTATGTTGGTCAGCCCTGCTGGCAGCTGCCCTCGATCTCGCTGGGCTGTGTGCATCCCCAGCTAGAGGAGGATGATAGGGGCACAGAGCCCTCTCCAGTGGGTCCCCTTTGGAAGGAGCCTGCACAGCACTCCCAGTGACCCCAAGGGAAAAACCTGCCCCCCAGGCAATGCCCTACAGTTCAGTCCGAGGTTCCAGGAGCTTCCTTTCTGCTGGATGGACCTTCAAGCATATTGACCCTTAGCCCCGGGTCATCCCATGGCCCTGGGGATGCAGCGAGGGGCCCAGCAGGCAGGGTGAGTATCTCCTGGAGCCATGTCTCCTGGAGAGCTCCTTAGTGGCTGGCAGAGAAGGATTGAGAAGACATTTTCCCCAGCAGGCCTGGGCAGAACACTGGCACACCCACCCTCATCCCTGGGCCAGCATCCTCGCCCCCACTGTGCCCCCAACTCCAGCCCAGCTTCCCCACCTTGGTGGTCCAAATGTACCATGTGCCCCTCCCCCAAAGTCACTTTCTCAGTGAGCTTCTCCCTGCTGCCTTGCCCCCAGCCACGGACTCCTGGCCAGTTTCTTCCACAGCCCGTGACCCGATGACTCACGTGTGGCTCACTGTCTGTCTCCCTCCCTGGTGGGACCGTGGTTCCTGGACAGCTCCTGGATACAGTCAGCTGGGCTTTGTTCCCTGGGCCACCCAGCTGCCCCCTCCTGTCCTCCAGTGAGAATGAAGCCCATGCAGAGGAAGGCCCACCGGGCCCCTGCCCCCTTTCTGTTGCACTAGGGTCCCAGCCACGGCATCCACACTTGTCCAGTCCCATTAGGAACACCCCAAGTGTTAGGAACACCCCAAGTGTTAGGAACATGCCTAGTGTCTGTGCTGCTCACTCAGGCCTCACAGCTGGTGCTTCCTCATTGAGTCAGCGAGCTTTCCTTCCCAGAAAGTGAGCTTTCCTTCCCAGACGGTGTCTCAGCATGGCCACTCTGCCGTGCATGGCACCAGCGCACACCCCATCCCTGGACGGTCACACTCCTGGCTATGCCCTCAGCAGACAAGGCACAGTGACCAGCGCCTGTCTTAACCTGGGAGAGACACCTGAGCGGCCAGGACAAGTTTTACTCCTCCTTGCAAACCCTGGCGAAACATCCACAGAGAGTGGAGGCTCCGCGGTGCTGTCCCCTGTGCTCCGCGACAGGGATGGAGCTACTCAATCAAATCCAAATCCCGCCGTTCCTTAGGGCCTCGGGGAATGGGATGAGAATGAAGAGACAGCGGCCGAGACAGTGGCTCCTGATCACTCCCCGGGAACAGCCTCTCAACTGCGCCATCACTGATGGCCCCGTCGGTCCCCGCATCACACGTCACAGCCTCTCAACTGCGCCATCACTGACGGCCCCGTCGGTCCCCACATCACACGTCACAATGTTTTCATACTCTAAAGCACAAGCGCATGTTTCAATGGGGTCGTGGATTTTGTAATAATATTTTAGCTTGGAACTGGTAAGAAACTAAGGCAAATTAAATTCAATGCTAGTTTACCCTTGTATTTTAAAAGATGTTGAAAATAAACAGCAAACACCACCAATGCTCTGCTGGCATTCACTAACAAGCCACGCCATCCCACCTGCTCTGAAACGCTCTGTCTTCTGGGTCCCTCCGTGACCCCCCCACACATCCTAGACATCCCTTTTCCTGTGGTCTTTTTTGGCTCTCTGTGCCCTTCCCCCAATACTTATTGGAATATTTACTTATTTTTGCCTCTTCCCTAAACTGTACATTCCTTGAGAGAAGAAGCGTTTTGATTATTATTTTTTTTATTTTTTTAACCTTATCTCCTTTTTTTTTTATTATTATACTTTAAGTTTTAGGGTACATGTGCACAATGTGCAGGTTAGTTACATATGTATACATGTGCCATGCTGGTGTGCTGCACCCATTAACTCGTCATTTACATTAGGTATATCTCCTAATGCTATCCCTCCCCCCTCCCCCCCACCCCACAACAGTCCCCAGAGTGTGATGTTCCCCTTCCTGTGTCCATGTGTTCTTATTGTTCAATTCCCATCTATGAGTGAGAACACGCGGTGTTTGGTTTTTTGTCCTTGCAATAGTTTACCGAGAATGATGATTTCCAGTTTCATCCACATCCCTACAAAGGACATGAACTCATCATTTTTTATGGCTGCATAGTATTCCATGGTGTATATGTGCCACATTTTCTTAATCCAGTCTATCATTGTTGGACATTTAGGTTGGTTCCAAGTCTTTGGTATTGTGAATAGTGCCGCCATAAACATACGTGTGCAATGCCACCCCCATCAAGCTACCAATGACTTTCTTCACAGAATTGGAAAAAACTATTTTAAAGTTCATATGGAACCAAAAAAGAGCCCACATCACCAAGTCAACCCTAAGCCAAAAGAACAAAGCTGGAGGCATCACGCTACCTGACTTCAAACTATACTACAAGGCTACAGTAACCAAAACAGCATGGTACTGGTACCAAAACAGAGATATAGATCAATGGAACAGAATAGAGCCCTCAGAAATAATGCCGCATATCTACAACTATCTGATCTTTGACAAACCTGAGAAAAACAAGCAATGGGGAAAGGATTCCCTATTTAATAAATGGTGCTGGGAAAACTGGCTAGCCATATGTAGAAAGCTGAAACTGGATCCCTTCCTTACACCTTATACAAAAATTAATTCAAGATGGATTAAAGACTTAAACGTTAGACCTAAAACCATAAAAGCCCTAGAAGAAAACCTAGGCATTACCATTCAGGACATAGGCATGGGCAAGGACTTCATGTCTAAAACACCAAAAGCAATGGCAACAAAAGCCAAAATCGACAAATGGGATCTAATTAAACTAAAGAGCTTCTGCACAGCTAAAGAAACTGCCATCAGAGTGAACAGGCAGCCTACAGAATGGGAGAAAATTTTCGCAACCTACTCATCTGACAAAGGGCTAATATCCAGAATCTACAATGAACTCAGACAAATTTACAAGAAAATAAACAGCATGAGGAGGCCCAAAGAGCTGTTATAAACTCCTCGGAAACATCAGAAAAGCCATCTGAAATTTAAAATAAATGGGAATCCACCACTAAAAAATCCGAAATCTAAATGAACAAACCAATAGCCCACAGCCTGCTCCGAGTGACGCGGCCTCCACACGGACCCTCCGCACCTGCAGAGCCGCTCCGGGTGCCCGGCCAGGCCTCCGAGGGACGAAGTCCCTTTGGGGAAAGACATTTACCTAGAACACGCCAACATCTACAAGGGGTGAAATGGTCTTAATAAAGGGTTACATCTTCTGAAATGCTGCATTTTAAAATCCCGTCTCTCTCTGTCTTTAGGGTCCGTTTCCTTCCTAAGGCAGGTGCAGAGCCCGGCCTTGCTGCGCCTTCGGGGCGCGGGCATCTCCCGGCCCAGCTCCGCCCTCCTCCCGCGCTGGAAGCCGCCGCCCGCCCTGGCCCGCGGTGAGTCCAGGGGAGGCCGCGCTCTGTGGCCACGGCTGTAATTTGAAGGGGCGGCCTCAGGCCCACCCCAGTGAGGCACCAGCACCCGCATCAGCTCCGACTTTGCGCGCTCGAGACCCCGGCCAGGGGCTGCCTCTGGGTCCGCCTGCGCCGCGAGAGGACTTGGGGCCTCGGGGACCCGGCGGGACCCTCCGGCTCTCGGCTGCGGAGCTGCGCGCCCATGGCGCGTCCCACGGCCACCCGGGCCTGGGCCTGTCGGGGACTCGGGAGGCGCCGCCCAGGTCTCAGGGGGACTCTGCCGAGGCACGGCCTGGGCCCGGGGCGCCACGCGCGGACACGAGTGGGCGGGGAGGGAAGAGCAACCCCAGCCCTGCCGCCCCGTCCAGGGAGCCTCCCCCACCCGAGGCCGGCGGCTCAGCGCTCATGGGCGGCCTGGGGGCGCCTCCGGGAAGGACTCCTGCTCCCGCAGGAATTTGTCCCACGCAGAAGAACGAGGCCCCCGGGGAGCGCCCACGAACGCAGGGAGACGGCGCGGGGCCCTCGAGCCGATGCGGGGCGCTCCTGCCTCAGCCCGGAGCGGTGCAGCCTCGGGCCCTGCTCTCCGCCCGGGAAGGCTCCGCGGGTTCGAATCTGCTGTGAAATGTCACCGGCGCGCTCGCCATCCGCGGGCAGAAGGAGCCGCTCCCGGGGGCCTTTCCACTCCGGGAGGGGACGATGCGCTCCGAACCGCTCACGGGGAGCTTGGCCTGGTGGGTTCCAGGTGGGAGGAGGCGCTGCCCGCTCGGAGCGCCCGGGGCCTGGGCAGCTGCGTGGTCCCAGCGCCGGGGTCCGCGCCGGGTGGGGCCTTGGCCACGTGGAAACCCGGGGCTGGCCGTGCCCAGGGCAGTAGCGGTGACTCCGGCGGACGTCAGTGAGGACCTGGAAGTGAGGTTCCCCCAGGAGAACCCCCGTCAGGGACCCGGGGTCCAGTCCCGAATGGGAATAAACTGTGCGGCCCACGTAGAGCAGCTCGGAGCCGTCGCCCTGGCTCTGAGCAAGCCGAGCCTTCGAAGGCCCTGGACCGAGGCTTCCCTGGAGGTCCCCGGGCCCTGCCGTGCGTCCGAAGCTCCTGTCCAGACGCGGCGGCGCTGGGGCTGGGCTCTGCCTAGAGCCCAAGATGTTTTCAATGTTCGTCTTTGATTTAAGACGAGAAAGTTTGGCTCAGCTCCGCTTCCACTCGCCGGCATCTGTGCCCCAGCGAAACTTGCCAACGTCTGGACTGTAAATAAGGGACTTTGACCTAAAAGTTTTTACAAGCTTTAAAGTTTCAGTAAAGTTGGGTAGAGATATTTCTTGGTAAGTTTGATGCCAAAAAAAAGGAAAAAAAGAAAAAAGCATGTGTTTTGCCTGAAGGAAGTTTGGCCGGCTGCTCCTCACGGCCTGGGCCCCCAGGAGGAGAACCCAGCTCTGCCACGCTGGTGTCTGCTGTCCCGACTGTAAACCAAAAATAAACTTCTAAGCCCCCAACCGACTGAATGGACCCCCTCTCTGTCAAGGGGATTTCAAAGAAACCTGAAAAACGAGGTCAGGCCACGTGCGGCTGCCTCAAGGGTCATCCCTGCAGTGTCCAAAGCACAGGCTGGTGAGGGAGTGGGGGGCTGGAGATGCCCCATTCTACCCTCCTCCCTCTGGAATTCAGGCACAACTGACCAGTATGAACTTTAAAACAGAGATCTTAAGGCTGACAAACAGGCTGTTGGTAGCAATATAAGATACCAAATTCCCACCTGACTCTAGTATAGCATCACATGACCGGGGGCAGGCCCTGGAAGTATCCAAATATTTTACTCCAAAATATATTTATTTGGCATATTTTCTAACGGCCCTCCAAAGCTGTCTCTTGTGGGAGACATGTACATTCTGTAGAGAATCCTCTTCCCTTTCCAGGCCTTTTTCTGACGCTGAAGAGATTGGCTGAGAGTCTAGCACCTTCTAAAGGTCTAAAGAGGAAACAGTTGCCATCTATTGTCTCCAAGGGTGGCCACCTATGAGACTTCATCTACATAAGAACCTTGGTCTCCAAACCCCTTCACCAAGACACTCCTTTCTGGTGATTCCACGTCTTTAGATAATAACTTAACTCTTTCAACCAATTGCCAATCAGAAAACTCTCAAATACACCTGTGACCTGGAGGCCTCCACTGAGTCATCCCACCATTCCAGACCAACCCCACGCACACCTCACATGTACTGATTGGCGTCTGCCTGTAACTTTTGTCCCCCTAAATGTCTGAAGCCAACCTGGGCGCATGTTCTCAGGACCTCTTGAGACTGTGCCTCGGGCCTTGACCACTCATATTTGGCTCAGAAGAAACCTCTCTAAATATTTTACAGAGTTTGGCTTTTTTCCCTCAACATGACCCTGCCACCCACCAACTTGAGCTGATGAATAAAAATGGTTTCAGGTGTCTCCCTGCCCTCCTTGCCCCCACAAAGAGAAACACATTGTCTGAAACAGCCGGAATGTTAAGCTCACTTTCTTTGTTCCTGTTTTCAGCTGGAGGTTGTGCCAGGGGTTCTCTGGAGGCCCAAGTCACCCCGGAGACACAGGGACACCCCACAGCCACGACCGTCCCACATGGGAGTCTGAGTGGAAAGTGGGGGACTGGGGCACCTCGAATGGGTTAGTGGCACTTAGAAAAGAGTGATGTCTTCTCAAATTAAGGGACAGACGCCTTTCGTGGGATGAAGGGAGTGCTGTCTACCATGCTACCGTGGACCACGGAAAGTCCGGAAGGGTCGTGGCACGAGCCGGCACACTGGAACGCTGCCGTGTGTGCCATGCAGGCAGCACGGGGCTCTTTCCTGAGGAGGGCTCTGCGTGTGGCCACAGTGGTGGGCAAAGCTGGGGCAGGGACTCCAGGTGCAGCTGCCTCAAGGGTCCTCCCTGCAGCGTCTGAGGCACAGGCTGGGGTTGCGTTCTGAGCCTGCGTGACGTCAGCCACACTCACTTTGGCTCTGGGATTCCTCCTTCCCATTCAAAAAGGAGGATCCAAACAAAAACCCACACATCTGTATCCTTGTGACTGCAGAGTATCAGGGCACCTCCGGAGAAACTGGGGGCCCCGAAGAGCCCCCCAGATGCCCATGTAGATGCCCCCCAGATGCCCACCACACCCTCCTCCCGTAACAAGTAGCCACAGTGAAACTTTCCAAATCCCCAAATAAAGCCGCAGTGCGGAGCGAGTCCTGCCCGGAATGGTGGGCTCCTCTGCTGTATTCTTAAAATTGAGGTAAAACATAAATAACATAAAATGTGCCATTTTAACCATTTGTAAGGGCACGGTCCAGAGGGCTAAGCACATTCACGATGTTCTGTGCAGTCCTCACCACCGACCGTCTCCAGCACTTTCTCATCCTCCCAACCTGAAGCTCTGTCCCCGTGAAATGCTCACTCCCCTGCCCCGGCCCCCGGCACCCCCACCTGCTTTCTGTCTCTATGGACCTGTGGACTCCAGGGACCTCCTGTGAGTGAGACTCACACGTGATTGTCTTTACTGGGCATGATGTCCCCAAGATTCATCCATGGTATAGCCTGAGTCAGATTTTCCTTCCTTGTCCAAAGCTGAATATTCCACTGTAGGACGGATCACGTTGTGTGGGTTCATTCCGCCCTGGATAGACACGTAGGTGGTGTGTGCCTTTTGGCTTTTGTGAACAAAGTTGCTGTGAACATGGGGGTGTAGGTGCTTCTTCGATATCCTGATTTCAATTATTTTGGGCCTATGCTCAGCCTTCACTGTATTTTAACATGATTTTATCTTTCTTTAAGCGACTTTTTACATACGTCCATAAAATTTTAACTTGTTTAGTTGAGCGGTAACTGTAATTACAGTGGACCCTTGAGGAATGCAGGTTTAAACTACATGGGTACATTTATTAAGCCAGTAGTTTGCACATGGCAGGTCCTCCTGGCTGCAGGGACTGAGTGTGGGGACTGGTCCCATATTCGAGGTTCTGGGACGCGTCCCCCAGGGACATCAAGGGACGGACAACTGTGCCATTTTTCATATTTGCCACCAGCACCATCTCTAACTGGGTTTTCTGCTAATCAACGCCCCTGATTGTCAGGAGGAGAGGAGACCGGGCAGTGAGGCCCCAGTGCAGACCCCGGGCAGGCTGGGCTCACTTTAGCCTCCCCAGGCTCCCTCCCAGCCTCCTGGCCTCGGGTTCCAGGCCTCTTACCATGAGGACGATGACAGGCCCGGAGCTCCCGTTCTGATTTAAAACTGCGGACCCAGCCGAGACCCTGCAGGGCCTCCAGCCCCACCTGCTCCTTCCAAGCCCGGTCTCAGCCCGGTCAGCGCCGCCCCCTCCGCCCTGAGGAGGAACCTGGCCCTTCGGAAGTCTTCCACTGTGTTCTCTGGGGAAACCACGGCGCCTCTCTTGCCAAAGCCTGGTTCCTTCTCTCCCTCTTTACCAGGCTGGGTTTTGCCGGCATTGTCTGTCGGATGCTATGGAGATGGGAAAATGAATTTCATCTTTCATCTTGCACACACCTGTCTGAAGGCCCAATGTTGCCCTGGTGTGGGGACAGCGAGGGGCAAACTCGAGAAGCCCCTGTGGACGCACAGGTGGCCTCGTGACACCCCCAGGGGAGGCGCCCCAGACCCCCCCCCCCCGCCCGACGCCAGAACCCACGGGGCGGGGCCTCGCCTGGAATGGGGCATCCTCTCTAGAGGACTTGGGATACCTCGAACTATGCAATGCGGTGTAAATACTGTTTACACGGTATTTTATTGGGTTTTTTTTATTGTTGTATTGTGATTTTTCTTCCCCTCTGGGGTTGGTGGAACCCTCAGTTGCAAACAGGAATGCAGAGGTGGATGGTGGTTCCACGATTTGGAAATCATGAAAGACTACAGAGTCCTGCCAGCTTCTTGGTAGAACTTTGTTTTTTATAAGCTCGATAGAAGATCTTATTAGCTTGATGATTCTTTGAGACCAGGTGCTATTCTTATCTAATTTATTTATTCATTTATTTCCTCAACAAATATTTCTTAAAT
The DNA here is from genome assembly GCF_000001405.40 of Homo sapiens. Lineage (NCBI taxonomy): Eukaryota > Metazoa > Chordata > Mammalia > Primates > Hominidae > Homo > Homo sapiens. The sequence goes on from NT_187617.1 coordinate 85,325, forward strand.
GACTTTTATATTCTCCCCCAAGCATCTTAAGCAGATGCTTAATAATAGGAAATAACACTCCCTTTATACAATAACATTACGCAACGCCATCATTTGTTCTCATAAAGGCAATTAGTGCATGAATTTCCACCCCCACCCTCAAAAAATTGCAACACTGTGTGCGGTGGAGAAATCCTGGGCTGTCTCAGGTTTCCTCACTCCACACTCTCCCCAAGACAAAGTGGGTAGTTACCGCGCTAGAAGGTGGCCAAGAGCATGTGAGTCTACAGGCAAGTACCTTACTCTCCTGGGGTGAAAATAATTCGGAGAAAGTAGAATATATGAAAAGAAAGTGTGGAGTTAAAGAACCAAAGCTCACAGACCATCTCCCCAGTAACCAGAGTTACTTAAATGCTTTGAATGCCACTTCTCTCATCTAGAAAATAGGGGTGAGGCCTCTAACTTCCCAGGACTGCCGCCCACGTCAAACCCTACCCCGAGCATGTGAAGCCTCTGAGGCCTGCGATTTTGGCTGACAGAGGCACAGGCGGAGGCCAGGGCAGCGTGGGGAGCAGGAAGCCCCCGTGGCAGAACAAGAAGCTCCCCGTGGGGGAACAGGAACCCAAGCCCCATGGGGGAACAGGAAGCAGGTGAACTTGCTGCCTCCCCTCCCAGCTGGTGCGTCCCCAGCAGACAGAGGCCCCAAAACACCGAGTGACTCAACCTACAATCAGGCTTGTTTCCAAAACCTTGATTTCCAGGTTTCAAAATTGTAAGCTAAGCCCCGTCCATGGCCATGTGCCGCCCAAAGACCCCCCTCAGCCCCTCAGCCTGTATTCTTGCCCCCATAACTGCAAGCACTGCCCGGGATGGCCAGTTCCATAAAGAGCCAGCTTCCTGATTGCATTATCCGAGGACGAACCTCCCCAGGACTGAGGAGTTCGTCCCCCGCGGCTGATCACACAAATGGATCAAGGGCCTCCTGCTTGGAGGCCGGAGGGGAGAGCAGGTGAGACAGAGTCATCGATTCCCAGGCAACGTGGAGCACACATCTGCGCCTGGAAGGGGGCTGTCCCATTCTCGTGGAAGTCAAGGGATTTTTACTTCATCCTCCCACAGGCATCCTTCCTGCGCTGTTTCAGAGCCTAGAAGCTGGGGTGCCCCACAGGACTTGGCCATGTCTGCACCTCAACCGACAGTCACTTAATATGTTTCTCGAATTAATTTTAAATGTAATTTTGCTTTTCCACTTAGGCTCATTGTAAGTAAAACGAGTGACATCATGGACTAATGTGCCTGTTATATTACTCTCTGTAACACATTCGAATTAATGTATAATAATACGTAAGAAATAACTAGTAAAATAAAGAACGTGTGTGCACATTCTTCCTAAAGAGCCTCTCTTGCACGGACAGGACTAGGCATAAGGTATTTGGGGAAACTGTCTCGCGAGAAGTGAGGGGCGGAGGCAGGTGTCCGGAGGCCTGCAGGTGCCACGGGGCTGAGGCCGGCCTCCTGCGCGGAGTCCCTCCCTCTGACCTCCCCGGGGTGCGAGCCCCACCTGCAAGGCGGTGGAGAGACGTCTCCATCTAGTGGCCGCCTGCTTCCATTACACTGGGAAGCAAGTTCCTGACCCTGAGGGTCCCGGGTTCCTTTTGGTGATGAAAACCCTCCGGAACTGAATAGCGGTAATGGCTGCACAACCTTGTAAATATACTAAAAACCCCTGAATTGGGCATTTTAAAGGCATGAATTATATGGTACGAGTTATATCTCCATTTTTAAGAGAACTTTTGTGAAAGGTTTCAATATATGAGCAGAAAAACCTTGTTCACGTCTTCTTATGGTGAAATGAAAGCATCTGAAGCACAGTGAGTGTGTCTTTTTTACTTTGTCCAGAAACATGAAGTTTAAAACATCCAGGGACCACAAGTCTTCGAGATAGAAATGTTTCATTTGTGCTTTTCTGTAAGCCACAGCTATAGTTACTACTGAATACCATTCTTCCAGGACCCTTTTATCTGATATTCTAATAAGTTGTTTCTTTTTAAAGGCACTTCTCCCTAAAAAGTGTTCTCAGGCTGCAATTACACGGATCTGAAGTGTGCGGCATACGGCTTTGCTCTCACTCTGCAGTGGAGCTTGTGGGTGTGGTGAAATGATGATGTTTTATTCTAAGGGGAGGCCGAGAACCATCTGCTTCTCGACGGAAACCATGTGTTATTACAAGACGCTACGTCAGGCGTTTTAACATGATACACTCCTTGCAATTATACTTACTAAACAGAACACCACTGCAGAATTTCCCTAATGTTCTCCTCACACACCAACTCAAGAATCTTCCCCTGCACCTCAAATGGTGCAATTATTTTGTAAAGGTCTTTGTCAGTGGATTCAAAATAACCAGAAACAATAATGATTATTATTTAGAATTCCAGTGTAATTTTCCAGCTGAGATGCAGCCTCAGGTGTGGACAGAGTGGAAAATGAGGTGATTTGTGTCCAGCCCGTCTTCAGGGAGGGGAGACCCTGCTACTGGCTCCTCATTGCCCGGCAGGGAGTGTCCTCCCCCAAAAGATGCTGGAATGTGGCTCCACGGGAGCCATGAATCCGTGTGACCCTAGGCTCGTCACTGTCACAGTGCACATTTCATGGCCTCAAACGGGTCTTCCTTGTGTGTAAACTTCAGAGAGAAAGTGCCTTCATGGGGTGAACACAGAAGTGCCACCCCAGGAAGCCTCTGCTGCCCAGCAGCAGGAAGGGGGGTCGAGTCTGAGGCCCCAAGGAAGGAGGAACTGAGCTCTGCTGTAGGGAGCCCCGTCCAGGGATGAGCAAGGCGGGAGGGGAAGGCCGGGAAGCGGCCAGGGAACTCTCTGAAGGCCGCCTTCACTCTGGAGCCTGGCCGAGGCTCAGCTGGCTTGACCACGCTGCGATATGCATCTCCCTCCGCCCAGCCCTGATTCCTCTCCTTTCCTCACACAGCCGTTGACCCTAAACAGATCTCACCTGCAAAATCCAACTGCATGTCAGCCACAGTCTACAGTGCACAGTGGAGACCTCAAAGACAGGATTATTCAGCCCAAAATGTTACTAGCGCTGTGGTTGAGAGATCCGGAAACAGGCTGACCGCGAAGAGAGAGGAGGCACAGTTAGTAAGGCCGGTGATGAGAGGGAACATCACCACCTCGTGCTAAGGGAATGGTATGAGCAAACATATGCCAATAAAGACGAAATGCAAAAATGCCTAGAAAGACACAAATGGCCAAAACTGACTTGAGAAGAAATGGAAAATCCTAATAGGCCTACGACAAGTAAAGACATTTAAAAATCTTCCCAAAAGAAAAGCCCTGTCCCCAATGGCTTCATTGGTCGACTTTATCAAATATTTAAAGAAGAAAATAATACCAATTCTACACAACTTTTTCAGGAAAACAAAGAGTAAGTAATACTCCCCAATTCATTCTATGAGGCCAGGATCACCCTGATACCAAAGCCAGATTAAGCATTACAAGAAAACTTCACACCAATATCTTCCACAAACATAGATACAAAAACCCCTAACAAAATATTAGCAGACCAAATGCAACCACATATAAAATGGATTATAAACCAGGATCAATTAAAGTGTATCCCAGAAATCCAAGATTGGTTTAATATCTGCAAATCAGTTCATCAATAGATATGAAAAAATCATTAACAAAATCCAATACCTTTCATGATAAAAACTCACAGCAAACAAGAAAGAAGGAACGTCCTACATCTTTTAATGGACATGCACAAAAAACCTACAGCTAACATCATGGTTAATCACGAAAGACTGAGGGCTTCCCTCCTAAGATGTTAAACAAGACAAAACTGTCTGTTCTCACATTGTGCTGGAGGAGAAAAATAAATGTTAGAATTCATTAGTTTATTCACTTCCATGTAATGTACCAAGTAGACCTCAGGTGACAACTGTGCCACAGAACAGCTGGGAGGTGCCAGAAGCTCTCCGGCTGTGCCAGAAGAAGGGAGTGTTTAAATGAAAGTTGGGCTTGAAAATGTGAATCAGATTCACCCTAAAATGTTTTCTTTTCTTTTTTTTTTTTTTTTTTGAGTCAGTCTCGCTCTGTCACCCAGGCTGGAGTGCAGTGGCGCGATCTCAGCTCACTGCAAGCTCCGCCTCCCAGGTTCACACCATTCTCCTGCCTCAGCCTCCCAAGTAGCTGGGACTACAGGTGCCCGCCACCACACCTGGGTAATTTTTTTTTGTATTTTTAGTAGAGACGGGGTTTCACCATGTTAGCCAGGATGGTCTCGATCTCCTGACCTCGTGATCCGCCCACCTTGGCCTCCCAAAGTGCTGGGATTACAAGTGTGAGCCACTGCACCTGGCCTGTTTTCTTTTCTTAATGCCTGACTTGTAACAATAATTTCTCACATTGTGCTGGAGAAGTGGTGAGAACAGCCAGCCTTGTCTTGTTCAGCATCTTAGGAGGGAAGGCCTCAGTCTTTCATGATTAACTCCTTTCCAAGGAAGGAAGGAAGGGAGGGAGGGAGGCAGGAAGGAAAGGGGGAGGGAGGAAGGAAGGGAGGGAGGGAGGGAGGGAGGGAGGGAGGGAGGGAGGGAGGAAGGAAAGAAGAAAGGGAGGGAGGGAGGGAGGGAGGGAGGGAGGAAAGGGGGGAGGGAGGGAGGGAGGGAGGGAGGGAGGAAGGAAAGGAAGGAAGGAAAGGGGGGAGGGAGGGAGGGAGGAAAGGAGGGAGGGAGGAAGGGGAGGGGGGAGGGGAGGGGGAAGGGGAGGAGAGGGTTAAAACCATAAATACTGAAAAGAAGAAATAAAACTGTCTATTGGAGATGACCTAATCGTCTATGTAGAAACTCTTAAGAAATTTACAAAAAAGAGCCCTACTGAACTAATAAACAAGCTTATCAAGATTGTAAGATATAATATCATTACACAAAAATCAATTATATTTTATATAATATCAATAAACAACCTGAAAATTGAAAACAATTCCATTTACAATAGCATCAAAAATAATAAAATAGTATTAAATATAACAAGACATGCAATATTCGTTCACTGAAAGCTACAAAACATCACTGAGTTTTCATCAGCAAAAACCGCAAACATCGTAGAAGAGCAAAACCAATGGAGAGACATTTGTGCTCTTTGAAAGGTTCAATATTATTTACATATTGTCTCCACAAATTGCTGTGATTCAATGCAATCACTATCAATTTTTTTGTGGCAATTGCTTTTGTGGCAATTGACAAACTGAACTATTTATTTACATGGACCTGAAGAATCCAAAACAATTTTGAGAAAGAACAAAGTTGGAGAATGGATGCCACTGGATTTCAGACTTCCTATAAAGCTACAGGGATCAAGATCATCTGGTATCAGCATAAGGACAGACATAAAGATCAATGGAACAGAACTTGAAATTCCAGGATGCTCACGGTCTACAGTGTAAAATGCTGCACTTTAAGGCATCCCCTGAGAGCGATTTCTTTCTGTTAAGGACTCTCTCAAGTCCGGCCCACCCTCGGTTCTATCTTGTGCCGTCTGTCCATGGCTCCAATCCCTTCTCTGTTTTGAATCACATTAAGACAGTCATCTGGGGACCTGCTTCTTAGAAACTCTCTCCAGTGGCTGTAATGGAAACCTGGCAGTGATAAGAAAAGAAGCAAACTAGAAGGTAATTTGTACATAAATTGCAAGTGAAATTTATAGAGGAAGAATGTTTCCTCTAACACAACATTTTACGTTGTGTATTATGAAAATTTTCAAACATATGCGAAAGCACCAACAGTTCTCAGTCCCCCTGCACCCTCCAGCACCCTCGGTCCTCAGTCCCGCTGCCCTCCCCCCTCTAGCACCCTCGGTCCTCAGTCCCACCGCCCCCTCCAGCACCCTCGGTCCTCAGTCCTGCTGTCCTCCCCTCCCCAGCACCCTCGGTCCTCAGTCCCACTGCCCTCCCCCCTCTAGCACCCTCGGTCCTCAGTCCCACCGCCCCCTCCAGCACCCTCGGTCCTCAGTCCTGCTGTCCTCCCCTCCCCAGCACCCTCGGTCCTCAGTCCCGCTGCCCTCCCCCCTCTAGCACCCTCGGTCCTCAGTCCCGCTGCCCTCCCCCCTCTAGCACCCTGGGTCCTCAGTCCCGCTGCCCTCCCCCCTCTAGCACCCTCGGTCCTCAGTCCCGCTGCCCTCCCCCCTCTAGCACCCTTGGTCCTCAGTCCCGCTGCCCTCCCCTCTCCAGCACCCTCGGTCCTCAGTCCCACCGCCCCCTCCAGCACCCTCGGTCTTTTGTCCTGCAGCCCCCTCCAGCACACTCGGTCCTCAGTCCTGCTGTCCTCCCCTCTCCAGCACCCTCAGTCCTCCATCCCACCACCCTCTCCAGCACCCTCGGTCCTCAGTCCTGCAGCCCCCTCCAGCACACTCGGTCCTCAGTCCTGCTGTCCTCCCCTCCCCAGCACCCTCAGTCCTCAGTCCCGCTGTCCCCTCCAGCACCCTCAGTCCTCAGTCCCACTGCCCCCTCCAGCACCCTCAGTCCTCAGTCCCACTGCCCCCTCCAGCACCGTCAGTGCAGCACCATCTAATCTCGGTCATACCCACTAGTCCCTAAACCAGGTTACTTTGAAATAAATCTCAGGTATCATACTATTTCATCTCCAAATATTTCAGCATATATCTCTAAATGATAAGAATCTTCTTTAAGTAATATTCAAATAAGTCATCAGTTTTATGTTTTGGAATTATTTTTAAATAAACAGAAGAAATCCTCCCTTAAGTTGCATGGACAACCCACATTCAGCACTAAGCCTAGAGGTCTCCTTTAAAAGGCATTTTAAGACTCATCTGATGATTTAAAGTCAAATAAGTCCTATGCTTATTTTTCCAAAATATGTACTTTTTCCAGCTGCAAAGAATGCATTACAATACGCAATCGCAAATGGCCTGCTGCTGTATGGCCAGAACAAATGTGTTAGGAAAATAAATGTTAGAATGCATTAGTTTTTTCACTTCCATGTAATGTACCGAGTAGACCTCAGGTGACAACTGTGCCACAGAAGAGTTGGGAGGTGCCAGAAGCTCTCTGGCTGCACCAGACAAAGGGAATTTTTAAATGAAAGTTGGGCTTAGAAACACGAATCAGACTCACCCTAAAATATGTTTTCTTCTCTTAATGCCAGACTTCTCATAACAATTTCATAAATTAAACCTGAGCTGTATGGGAAGGCTCAAACAGCAAAACATTCAATGCCATCTCTCCCTGCTATAATTAAAAACACACCTGGTGAAAATTCTAAGACAAAACGGGATCCTTCTAACTCAGAGTCGCTAGAGTTACCACCACAATCAAATGCACCCTAGAAGCTTTTGGCGGTGTGTGCGCGTGGGCTCAGGGCTCGTGACCCTCTGTTCCGGCCCACGCTTCTGACCGGTGATTAGAAAGCGGCACGTTCTATCCTCGGCCCTGTCAGCCCTGCAGGGCGCACCAGCTGCTCTCACGGGCCACAGAATCACAGATGCGGTCCTCACCTCTCGGGAGCGGCCTTCTCCTAGACAGCACACGAGCCATCTACGTTTTCCCGGTTGTCTTTTTCATTCCAAAGTCCACATGTGCGCTACCACCTCCTTTAAAACATAAAAACAGAAAAGCAAAACGACGAAAAAGGTAGCAGTTCCCTTTAGCCACAGTGCAGCGCATTTGTTTTCATTATTCCTCCGTTTTACTGAGAGTAATGTGCCATCCAGACAAGCCCATGGGAGCGGTAAAAAGAGTCAGGGAATAGTCGATTGAGCTGGAACGGCCCCCATGCTCACGCACCTTATAGAGCAGATTCAACTGGCCTGTGTGTTAGGATGCACGGTGCAAACTGTTCTGACGGTAATCCATCATGGAATAGCATCTTCCATGCAGATGTACTTTTTGCTTATAGACACCTTGTCTTACGGAGCTCTCTCCCCACAATGACAAGATTCTGACAGTGGAGGCATCGCTTTCTCCGCGTCACATCAGCAGGGCCCCTCCACTCACGGGGACTTTCCACATTTTGCTCTTTTTCTCTGCCTCATGTATCGAAATAAAAGCAACCGCAAACACATGCCTCTTCTGGAATGCGTGCTCTGTCTCAAAACCCAGCCCAAAAGGAAGAAGAGGAGGAAGAGGAGGAGGAGGGGGAGGAAGAAACTGGTTTTCCCTGTTGGCCTATTTTATGCAGTTAAAAACACACCGAAGAAAAATCGGAGGGGATGTCTACTTATGGCAGTAAGGCAGGCCAGACACTTGGAAGGGTCCTCACCAACAAAACCATCCGATCCTGCCTGAGACTTGGTTTTCCTGCCAGTATTGGGCTTGAATGAAATAAGGGACTTCTTCAAGGCTCCCTTCGTGACCTGAATTCAGAGGAGGGAAATCCCATAATGAAATGGAAAAGGTGAGGTTGCCCTGGGAGGACTTGCCACATCAGAGCCACCTAAAGGTTGTCTGGGCCAGGAGGTGAGCTGGGGCTCCAGGCCCAGCAGAGGAGGCAAATGTGCTCCCCACTGGGGTCCCCAGCTTGAGCCAGTAGTAAACACCACCGGGTTCTCACAGAGTGACATCAGGCAAACCTGAGCTCACGGCCAAAGAGCAGCAAACACACGCAGAGGAACGCGTCCGTGAGCAAAAGTCAGCACGCACGACCCGAACACAAAACAGACTCAGACCCGCAGAGGCACCAAAATTAGAGGTTAGAGCTGGAGAAATTGTGCAGAATGCATAACAGAAAAACAGGGAGGCAAAAAATATTTGAAAGATTAAGAGGAAGAGATTATAGAATAAGGTCTAACGAATATCTATTCATAGTTCTAGGAAGTGAGACCAAAAAGGAAGAGGGAAAAATGATTAATTAAAGAGATGATGCTTGAAAACCTGCAAGAATTGATGAGAGTCGTGAATACACAATAAATTCCAAACAGAGTAAATAAAAAGAAATCCACCCATAGACACATGCAAGAAATCCACCCATAGACACTTCCATTGACATGCAAGAAAATGTCAGAACACTGAGGCCAGGCACGGTGGCTCACGCCTGTACTCCCAGCATTTCGGGAGGCTAAGGCGGGTGGATCACCTGAGGTCAAGGGTTTGAGACCAGCCTGGCCACCATGGTGAAACCTTGTCTGTGCTAAAAATACAAAAATTAGCTGGGCATGGTCGCGGGCACCTGTAATCCCAGCTACCTGGGAGGCTGAGGCAGGAGGCTAAGGTTGCAGTGAGCCAAGATCGCTCCATTGCACTCCAGTCTGGGCGACAAGAGCGAAAACTCCGTCTCAAAAAAGAAAAAAAAAAAATTCAGGGCACCGAAGACAAACAGAAGACAGATCACCTATAAAGCCAACAATAAGACTAACAGATTTTATTTTCTTCTTTTTTTTTTTTGTTTTGGTTTTATTCAAGACAGAGTCTTGCTCTGTCACCCAGGTTGGAGTCCAGTGGCACAGTCTTGGCTCACTGCAACCTCCACCTCACAGGTTCAAGCCATTCTCATGCCTTGGCCTCCCGAGTAGCTAGGATTACAGGAGTGTGCCATTATGCCTGGCTAATTTTTGTATTTTCGGTAGAGACAGGATTTCACCATGTCGGCCAGGCTGGTCTTGAACTCCTGACCTCAGGTGATCCACCCTCCTCGGCCTCCCAAAATGTTGGGATTACAGGCGTGAGCCACTGTGCCATGCCCAGATTTTCGACAGCAAAAATAGAAACTGGAATCCAGTGGAATCATGTCTTCTAAAAACAAATTGTCATTCTACTGCTGTCTACCCAAACCGTCTTTCCACAATGAGAGCAAATAAAACATTCTCAAAGAAACAGAAACTGAGAGTTAAACTCCAATAAAACTTTCCTAAAGGAGTTCTAAAGAATGTTCTCTAAGCAGGTGGAAACTAATCCCATAAGGGCATGATAGACTTATGCATAACATCGTGTGGTGTGTAGCATGTATTATGCAGCGTGTATTACGTAGCGTGTATTACGCAGCATTACGTAGCGTGTATTACGTAGCGTGTATTACACAGTGCGTATTACGCAGCGTGTATTACGCAGCGTGTATTACGTATAGATTACATATTCTATAACTATTTTAGATGTCTGTTAGATATGCATTGTTTTAGTAGAACCAGTTCCTTTACATTGAGATAGATCTTTTTCCTAATAAATTGTTACTTTAAAAAAGGAAGTTATAAAATATCAGATGAAATGACAAACAAATAAATTGTTAAATATATGTTAAATCTAAACAAACACTGTCTATAAGATAATAACCACAATATCTAACTTAGGAGTTTTAAAAGTTATAGAGCTAAAATATTGAACAATGTTAGTTTGAAAGTCTGGAGAAGAGTGTTCTAAGGTTTATGTTGTTGAGAAGGAAACTGAAGTATTAAACTTAAATTTATTATGTTAGAAATGCAAAGTAAAATTTCAATGGCAATCACCAAAAGAACAACAATGAAGTGAACACAAATTTTTAAAATAGACAAAAAAGCAGATCTCCATAGATTCCCAAAGGAAAAGTGTGTAACAGAGGAGAAAAAATACATACACACGCACATATATATATAGAGAGAGAGAGAGAGACAGAGAGAGGGAGGGAAGACACACACACACAAGCAAAGTTGATAAAACCGCAGGCGAAATTGGCAAATGCACTTTTAAAGTGAGAGATTTTGACACATCTCTTTAGACTACTGCTTTTTCAATTAGAAAAAAAGTAAACATATAGTAAATTTGAATAACACATTCAACAAGCTTAATTTATTAGATAGACATAGAATGCTGAACCAAATCAGAAAATAATACACATTCCTTTGAAGCAAATATTAACCATATACTACTGGGCTTTATGCTAACTGCATTAAATTTCAGAATAATAGTATCATACATTTTATGTTATCTAACCATAGTGCAATTAATTTAGAAATCAACAATACAAAGATAAAGAAATTTCCTATACATTTGGAAATTTTAAGATGTACTTTGAACTAACTCCTTCATCAAAGAAAAAGATTGCGATAGAAATAAAGCCATACTCGAATGATTGACTATTTTGAAACTTGTGAGAGGAAGCAAAAGTGAGATCTAGTAGGGCATTTATAGCTCTGAGATTTGATTCAAATGAACACAGGCTTAAAATTAATGAGCTAAACATCCAATTTAAGATGATGAAAAAGAACAATAATGAATCCAAAGAAATTGGCAAATTCCTAGAAAATATAATTTCCAAAAGTGAAACATCTCATTTTGAGATGAGACAGGTCTAAACAGACATTTAACTATGAAAGAAATCTAATCAGTAAATTAAAATTTTCCCACAAAGAAATACCAAGACAAGAAAGGCTTAAAGTTATATCAAACATTTTAAAAAGGTCATCCCACACTTATAAAAATGCTTTCAAAAATGGAATTAGAGACAGAAAAGAGGAAAGCTTCCCAACTCATTCTATAAGCCCAATACACCTTTGATTTCCAATTCAGCAAGGATAACACAAGAGAGGAACACAGGCGTTTCTCACTTGTAAACATGGCCATAAAAAGATTAAGTCAAATATTAGCTAACTACAAATCTACTTATGGAATTGGGTTTATCCCAGAAATACATAACTGAATCTGGTTTTAGAAACAGAATAATGTATACATTACACATATGCAAATATATGTATTTCCCTGTCTTAACAAAATGAAAGAGAAAAACCATATGGTCATCTCAACAGAGGCAGACAACCATTTGATATTATTCTAAAACAGTCATAAAAATCTTTTAGAAGACTAGGGATGAACTGAAGTTTCTTTAACCTGAGAAAAGACAGGCCAGAAAAACCCTTAGCATAAATCTTTCCTGATGGAGAAATGTCGGAAACTTTCCCTTTACCATCTGGAATAAGACAAGGAGACCCACTATAACTGATTCTGTTAATCACTGCACTATGGGGCTAAACTACCCACAGCAATGCAAGAAAAGAAAGAAAAGCTACAAAACTTGGAAGGGAAGCATAAAACAATCATCATTCATAAATGATATGTGTTTTTACCATGGAAACTGCAAATAATCTACCGATATACTATTAGAAATAAAAGATCTTAGTAAGGTGAGTGCGTGGCGCCAGTTCATGAAAATCCACTGCAGTTCTGTAAGCCAGCAGCAATCAGCCGGAAAACGGCAGTTTTTAAAAAGCTATCGTGTGCAATAGCAACAGAAAATAAAGTAACCAGGAATAAATACAAAACAAAAATGAGCAAGTGCTATACGGAGAAAATCATAAAACCTTATTGGAGGACTTTGAAATGGACCTAAGCAAGTGAAATGGTAGACCAAGTTGACAGATGGGAAAATTCAAATCACAAAACTGCCAGTTCTCCTCAGAGCGACTTAGATTCCACACAGCCCTGTTAAGGCCCTAACAGGTTTTATCAATAAACTTGACACATTAATTCTACAAGTTATGAAACAACAAATACCAAGAACAGCCACAAAACTTCTGAAGAAACTTCTAAAGAATCGTGGGGCCCTGGCCCTCCCAGATGTCATGACTTACGGAGCTCTAGCAATTCCAACAGCGCAGTAGAAGCCAGAATAGAAAATCTGGCCTGGCCGGTGCGTGGCTCACGCCTGTCATCCCAGCACTGTGGGAGGCCAAGGTGGGCGGATCACCTGAGGTCAGGAGTTCGAGACCAGCCTGGCCAACATGGTGAAACCCCGTCTCTACTAAAAAATACAAAAAAATTAGCCAGGCTTGGTGGCACATGCCTGTAGTCCCAGCTACTCGGGAGGCTGAGGCAGGAGAATCACTTGAATGAGGGAGGCAGAGGTTGCAGTGAACTGAGATCACGCCACTGCACTCCAGCCTGGGCAACAAAGCAAGACCCTGTCTCAAAAAAAAAAAAAAAAAAAAAACAGAGACTGGTATATATCAGAGATGACATCACAGATCAAAGAGAACAGAAGTTTTTCAATATATAGTGCTGGGACAATTGGTTATTCATATGGAAAATGAATTGGATTCCTGCCTTACATCATATATGAAACATCCATTTCTTATTAAGTAAATGGTTAGCTGTGAAGGGCAAATTTCATACATTTTAAAAGTATAAAAGGAAGATATCTTTAAAATCCTCATGTTAGGGAAGGCATTCTTAAAATTAACAGCTTCTGTTCATCAAAGTGTCTCAGAAAGAAAATGAAAAAGACAAACACAAAATTGGTAGACAACATGAGTAACATATAAACAATAAAATACTTTCCTTCAGAAGCCACAGGGAACTACTACAAATCAGTAATAAAAAGACAAACACCCCAACAGAAAAATGAGCAACAAACATGAACAGGCATTTCACAGGAAAAAAAACTCAAATGGCAGATAAAAAATAGAAAAATAAGCTAAACCATATGGTCATTAGGAGACTGACAATCAGAACTACAAGTTTTCATTTTAACACAGGTTTTTACTTGGCATGGCAGAGACCAAGTTGGATAACATAGACTTGTTGAGGATGTGGATGGAAAGTAACTCCTTTGTTGCTGGTGGGATTATAAATTAAAACAACCATTTCAAAAAATTGGTTGTCACTTCATTCATCTGAACATTTGCACACTCTATGATTCTGCAGTCCCCTCCACACACACACCCTCCTCCACACGCACACCCTCCGGAGGCTTTAACTCAGGTGCACCAAGAATCATACAGAATGTTCGCTGCAGTACTTCCCATGAAAGCAACTAAATGTCCATGTATAAAGACTCAGGAACACATTCTGTTACACCAAATGTCCATGTATAAAGATGGCATGAACACGTTCTGTTACAGCCACGTAATAGGATATTATACAGCAATCCCAATCAACAAACCACAGCCAAACAAAATCATTTAGAGGAAGATGCAGATACACAATGATTAGTGCAACAACCATCACTGAAGAATATATATGATGCTATTTTTATAAACCTCAGAAACAAGCCAAACTAAACAATATCTTTGTATGTGTATATATATATATATCTTTGTATATGTGTGTGTGTGTATATATATATCTTTGTATGTGTGTGTGTATATATATATATATATATATATATACTCATGCAATAAAACACCATAGAAAAGGAACATGATCAACACCAGGTTGAGGCTGGTGGATCTGCTGGTGGGGAAGCAAAGGGCAGAGTGGGATGGGGAGCTCTCCAGCGGTTGTTGTGATGTTGGTGACACCCTGGATTTCAGGTCAGCTGATGGGCTCATTGTAGGGTTAGGCTTCATAGCTCACCCAATATGTTACACACAGTCTGCTCTGTACTGTATGGGGAGCCTGGAAGCTGGAAACCCTGGAGAAAAGTGGCCACACTCAGCACCTGGCCAGGCCTGAGGACCCGGGGCTGTGAAAGAAGCTAGGCCAGGGAGGCTGTGAGGGATGGCAGGATGGAGATGGCGGCCAAGGAAACAGAGGCGGGGGTCAGAGAACACGGGGGTTCCACACTCCTCCTTGAGAGGTCTGAGTCCAGGAGGGCTTTGTGATACTGAGAAAAAGGAGGCGAGGTAAATGACAATGGCAGTCCTCTGACTCCGGACCGCGTTGTTCAGTTGGCCTGATCCCAAGTGAAACAGCATTGCCGTCCACCGTGCCCTTGGTCCACAGAAGAGCGGCAGGTGTAGCTGCTCCGTGGGCCAGTGGGAGGGTGGGATGTCTGCGTGGGGATGACCAGACAGGGCCGCCCTGGTCTCAGCTGCAGAGCCTCCTGGCCCAGACCTCGCCCTGCACAGAGAAGGCCGGCAAGACTGCACTCCCTGCTGCTCTGTCCACAAAAGGTTGGCAGGGAACTCCCGCTGAGACAGAAGAGACCTGCTTTTGTTTTGCCCCAGCCTGCAGTGGCTCCAAGTTATGCCAAAATGAAACCACGTCAGTCACAGAGAGCCCACAGGTCGGCGCCAGCAGCTTCTTTCACTCGTGAAAGCAGCAAGGCCAGCAGAGGTGATACCCTGGGAGGATTGAGTCTTCCTTCCAGCAGGACACTTTAACACCCTGGGCCTAATGCACCGATTCTTACCCGGTGCTTTTCACTGGCGTCCTTGCCATTTTCCCCCAGCAACGTGCATCCCAGCTGCATCTCAGGAGAGACGGAGGAAGGTCCGGGCTCACGCGCATCCCAGCTGCGGCCCAGGTGAGGTGGAGGAAGGCCCTGCTCATGTTGCCCTCACCACTACCTGCTGAGGGAGCGAGTTTCTGGGAGTGATATCTTGAGCCTCTTCTGCTTGATCTCCTGGGAGGGCTCATCCGTTCAGGTCCACAGGACATTTTAAAGAGCTCCCTGTGCGATCGTGAGGTATATTGAAGTTTAAGAACCACTACTTCAGGAGGTTTGTGCTATTATAAGGCCAATATTCTGCTCTATTTTATGTTCTATAAATGTGAATTTTATACTTTGGATTTTCTAAAAGAAGGACATGTGTTCTTATGTTGTTTATCAATATACTAAAAATATTAGAATAAAAACAACACGTGGAAATGGCTGCTTTAAATGTCTAAGATGCTCACCCCAACAAACTGGCAACGGCTACTGCTGCAGTTCCAAACCACGGCAATAAAGTGAGTATCACAATAAAGCAAGTCACATGCATCATTCTGGTTTCCTGGTGCTTTATAAAATTATGTTTACACTATACTGTAGTCTTATTAACTGTGAAATACCATTATGTCTTAAAAAATGCACATGCCTTAATTGAAAACTAATTTATTGCTAAAAAATGACGACCGTCTGCCCCTTCAGTGAGTCCAAATCTCTTGCTGCTGGAGGGTCTTACCTCAGTGCTGACAGCTGCTGACTGATCAGGGTGGTGGCAGCTGACGGCTGGGGTGGCTGTGGCAATTTTTAAAAATAGGACAGCAGCGAACTTTATCGTGTTGATCAACTCTTGCTTTCACGAGAGTGTGATGCCGATGGACAGCGTTTTACCCACAGCAGAGCTTTGTTCAGAATCAGTTAATCTGCTCACACCCTGCCGCTGCTTTATCAACTCGTTTACGGAATATTCTAAATTCTTTGTTTCATTTCAACAATCTTCACCGTGTCTTCATCAGGAGCAGATTTCATCTCAAGAAACCACTTTCTTTGCTCGTCCAGAAGCAGCAGCCCCTCGTCCGTCCAAGTTTCATCCTGAGATTGCAGCAGTTCAGTCCCATCTTCAGGCCCCGTCTAATCGTCTAATTCTAGTTCTCTTGCTATTTCCACCACGTCTGAAGTTATTTCCCCCACTAAAGCCTCAAACTCCCCAAAGTTATCCCTGAGGGCTGGAATCAACTTCTTCTAAACCCCTGTTAATGTTGATATTTTGACGTCCTCCCATAAATCATGAATGTTCCTAATGGCATGTAAAATGATGAATTCCTTTCAGAAGGTTTTCAATTGACTTTGCCTAGATTCATCAGAGGAATAAACTATAGCCTTAGAAAACGTATTTCTGAAATAATAAGACTTGAAAGTCAGAATCATTCTGGATCCTTGGGCTGCGGGGTGGATGTGGTGTCAGCAGCATGAAAACAACATTCCTCTCCTGTACGTCTCCATCAGAGCTCTTGGGTGACCATGAGCAGGAATTTTTCTGAAAAGAATCTCTCTTTCTGAGCAACAGGTCTCAAGAGTGGACTTAGAACATGCGGTAAGCCATGCTGTGGACAGAGGTGCTGTCATCCAGGCTTCGTTGTTCCGCGGATGGAGCACAGGCAGAGGAGATTTAGCATCATTCTTAAGGGCCCTGGGATTTTCAGAATGGCAAATGAGCACTGGCTTCAACATTAGCCCCTAGCAAGGGGGTCAGCCTGTCCTTTGAAGCTTTGAAGCCAGGCGCTGACTTCTCCTCTCCACCTATGAAAGTCCTAGACGGCATCTTCTTCCGATAGAAGGCTGTTTATCTGCATGTAAAATCTGTTGTTTAGTGCAGCCTCCTTCATCAGTGGTCTCAGCTGGGTCTTCTGGGGAACTTGCTGCAGCTTCTCCACCAGCAGCTGAGGCTTCACCTTCACTTTTATGTTACAGAAACGGCTTCTTTCCTTCAACCTCATGAATGAACTTCTGCTGGTTTCCAACCTTTCTTCTTTCTGAAGAAAGTGGAGAGAGGCAGCTTCCTCGCCTCTCCAGCCTTCATGGAGTTGAAGGGAGTTAAGGCCTCCATCTAGATGAGGCTGTGGCTTCAGGGAGTATCACGGCTGGTTTGATGTTCTATCTAAACCACTGAAATTTTCTCTGTATTAGCAATAAGGCTGTTTTACTTTCTTATCGTTTGTGTTCACTGGAGTCGCACTTTTAATCTCCTTCAAGAACTTGTCCTTTGCATTCACAATTAGGCTAACCATTTGGTGTAAGAAGCCTAGCTTTTGGCCTATCTCGGCTTCTGATGTGCCTTCCTCACCAAGCTTAATCATTTCTAGCTTTTGATTTAAAGTGAGGTACCTGGAACTCTTCCTTTCAGTGAAATGTGTAGAGGACATTGTAAGGTTATTAACTGGCCAGATTTTAATATTGTTCTGTCTGAAGGAATAGGGAGGCTGAGGACAGGAGAGAGACGGGAACGCCGGGTCAGGGGAGCTGTCAGAACACAATTAATTTTGGTGTCTCACGTGGGCAGTTACGGTGCTCCAAAACAATTGCAGTAGTAACATCAAAGATCACTGATGACAGATCACCATAGGTGATAAAAATGAAAAAGTTTGGACTGTGAGGATTACCAAAATGTGACACAGAGACACGAAGTGGGCAGGAGCTGTTGGGAAAACGGTGCCAACCGACTTGTTCAAGGCAGAGTTGCCACAAATTCAATTTGTGCAAAATGCAGTATCTTTGAGCACAATAAAGTCAAATGCAATAAGATGCCTGTGTATGGCAACCAGTTTGAGAACTATTTCACGGCGCACTGGTAACTGACTGTACTTAGAAGCTGCCGGTTTTGACAGAGCTCACCTGTGAAGTGGTGATGGCTGCCTCGCCGGGGCCCAGGACCTGGGCGTGGCCGGGAGCTCCCTCCCGGGGTCTTTCTTGGGCTCCAGGACCTGCAGAGTGTAAGCTGCAGTTCGGTGGACAAGCATGGCCAGGACAGATTGTGCTCCTGGGGACTGGGCGCCTTCCCCTAGAAAATCAGTGATGTAGGAAACAGCTGTATTAGTTGTGAGTGACCTCAGCGAGCGTGGTTCTCAGCAGTCCTGTGAGAGGCAATGCTACCCTCCCATTTATATTTTTAAAAAGAATAACCTGGTGGGGCTTTTAAGCTTTTGGGATAAAATAAAACAGGAAAAGAAACAGCTTTTCTTGATAAGACCGATACATACCCCAGGTCTTCCTCCCTGAAAGTGTGACCATTGTTGAGAGGTTGAAAGAGAATGGCCTGCACCACATCCGATGACCGTTCAGCTTCCCTCCTTCCTGTAAAAGCTTCCACGGCATTTGGCGAGACTCCTCCACGTGCTATCCCGTCCTTTCACTCAGTGAAAATGAGTGAAAATGGCTGGGAACAGAGGCTCATGCCTGTAATCCCTGCACTTTGGGAGGCCGAGGCGGGTGGATCTCCTGAGGTCAGGAGTTTGAGACCAGACTGGCCAACATGGTGAAACCCCGTCTTTACTAAAAATACAAAAATTAGCCGGGCATGGTGGTGCACACCTGGGTGTAATCCCAGCTACCCAGGAGACTGAGGCAGGAGACTCACTTGAACCCGAGGGGCAGAGGTTGCAGTGAGCCAAGATCACGCCAGTGCACTCCAGCCTGAGTGACAAGAGAGAGACTCCATCTCAAAAAAAAGAAAAAAAACTCAAAAACCTAGTTGTAAAATGTAAATTTGAAGGCACCTGTAGTATTGTAACATAGACTGTTTCTCACAGGTTAATTTTGGTGGAGGCATAAAAGTCATTAGAATCAAAATGAAGGCACTTGTGTTAGAAAAACAAACAAACAAAAAGCCCCCACGAATGGAGCCAGTGAACGCCGTGAAGGGAGTGTTCCCACATCCATCGAATAACAAAAAATATGATAGAAGACGCTGCAAAACCCAAAACCTTGCACAAAGACCAGCACAACCTTACACAAAAAATACTTCTGCAAGGATGTCTGCCCAGCACCTGCCTGTCCAACCTTGGACTGGCATCACCCTTGCTATTGATCTTTGTAGCCCGGAATAATTCTTTCAAACTAATTCTGTCATCCTCCGAATTTTCCCTTTAGAACCCTTTGTCTTCCTTTACCCGAATATGCACGTAATTTACTGTGGCATGTGTATTCCCATTTCAATGTTCTATTCTTGAATAAGTTACTTCTTCTTTGAGTGAGCCTCTCTCTGTTACTTCGACTGATACATATGGTGTCAGAAATGGGACTAGGAAAATATCACCATCGGAAGAAATCATTTTTACTCCCATTTTTTGGAGCCGTTGTGCAGTATTTACTCCAGCTGTTTGAGTTCTTCATTTCCACAGCTTGATTTTTCACCCTGGCGAGTCCTTTCTCAGGCTGAGCCTTTCTCTTTGTGCTGGAGGCTTTTTGATGCTACTCAGAATGTGACTTGGATGAGGCTGCCTTGATAAAGGACCACACATCCAGCCCGAGATGATAAACAGCCTTTTTGTCTTTTCTGCTAAGTCCTTTCTGGTACAAAGGCATAAATCTTTCTGGGTTGAATGCTCTGATTTGTACAGAATTAACATTCTCTCTGTAAGGCATGTGTTTACTTGTGAATTCACTTTTGATCTGCATGCCTGGTTTAACATTTTGTTCTATGTGGACACCTAGGTTAAAATTTTTGTGAACACTCTTACCTTGGTTCCTTTTGACTTGATTTGAGTCTTTCCCCTTGATGGTTTTTAAAAATCTTCTGAGAACAAAAATAAACATTCTAAATGGTGAGTGCAGAATTGCTAACTAAAGGCCATCAGGGCAGCCACCGCCATCTCAAACATGGTCTAAACTCCTGACATTCCCTGGCTGGATTTGCAGATTTTCTTTGCTCTCAAGAGATTAATAAGAATTGAATGAGATTCTAACACATTAAGGTATGCCTGGTGTGCTGGGATTCCAGCCAGTTACATATTGTGGCCCATTCTCATGCACATTTTTTAAGTGATTGGCAAAATGACACCAAGGAAAATTCAGAGCTCAATGGCCATTATTTGAACTCTCTAAAAAAGCAACCCTCTCAAAAAAACAACCTTGGGGCAATAGAGTTAACATGGAGTCTTCTAAGGTCTGTATCTCTCCCCCAACTTTTTTTTTTTTTTTTTTTTTTTTTTTGCCTATTTTGAATTTTCTGACTCTTCTGCTGGGTTGAGATGAAACTCACTGCTTATGGCATTCTAGCCAAGATTTTTTTCAAAGTCTTAAAGGGCTTTCAAATTAACGGCTTTAGAAATTCCGACAGCTCCATGGTAACCAACAACCTAGACACCTTTTAGAGACATCAATTTAGGTTTGACTGACTAACAATTGCTTATGGTGATGGAGCACTAAATTGAAAAATTAATAATCTAAAAGAAAAGGAACTACATATTCATAAATGTTTATAAAAGTTAGGCTCTCAGATTACAGAGGTCAAAAGCTGGAGCACAGAGCAATAATGTAAGGTATCTCTGTCCAGCATAAAAATTGTATTACTTTTTCTGCCATGCAGAGTCCAAAAAGAAAAAGCCAAAAACAAAATAAAACCAAAACCCTGCTGCAATGCTTCCTGCCCACATCTCTAACCAAGCAAACAAGACCAGCAACCAAAAGACATTTGCTGCTAGTTCAAGTCTTCTTGGAGATTCTTATACAATGCAGTCAATCCTAGCTAAAATGTTTTTTTTTCTTTTATAGATAGATATAGATCTAGATACACATACAGATACAGATATATAGATAGATATAGATATAGATATAGATATATAGATACAGGGTCTTGCTCTGTTACCCAGCCTAGAGTACAGTGTTACAATCATGGCTCACTGCAGTCTTGACCTCCCGGGCTCAAGTGATCCTCCTGCCTCAGCTTCCCAAGTAGGTGGGACTACAGACATGCACCACCAGACATGACTAGTTTTGTTGTCGTTTTATAGAGATGGGGTTTCAATCTATTGCCCAGGCTGGTGTAGAACTCCTGAGCTCAAGTAATTCACCTGCCTTAATTCACCTGCCTCAGACTCCAAAAGGGTTTGGATTACAGGCATAAGCCACCATGCCTGGCCCACCTAGCTAAAATGTAAACAGTTGAAAATTTAGCCCTAACCTCATTTGAAAATGAAAAAAAAAAAAAAAGAAAGAAGTGGGTGGGGGTAGAAATGGCGTTTTTCATTTTTATTTTTAAACTGCATGGAAACTGTTTACCCAAAATTTTGGTCCAGAGCCTTCATTAGATTTCCTACCAGGGTAAGTAGCACAAAACCAAAAATCTTGGTCCCCTATTGTATTAGTCCATTCTCGCACTGCTATAAAGATACTACCTGAGACTGGGTAATTTGTAAAGAAATAAGGTTTAAGTGACTCACAGTTCCTCATGGCTGGAGAGGCCTCAGGAAACTTACAGTCATGGCAGAGGGGAAGAGGCATGTCTTACATGGTGGCAGGTGAGAGAGAGAAGCAAGAGCAGGGAAACTGCCTGATAAAACCATCAGAGCTCCTGAGAATGCACTCACTATCACAAGAATAGCACGGGGAAAACTGCCTCCATGATCCAACCACCTCCCACCGGGTTCTTCCCTCAACATGTGGGATTATAGGGATTATAATTGGAGTAGAGATTTGGGTGGGGACACAGAGCCAAACCATATCACCTAGGGATTACAACTGGAGTGGAGATTTGGGTGGGGACACAAAGCCAAACCATATCACCTAGGGATTACAAATGGAGTGGAGATTTGGGTGGGGACACAGAGCCAAACCATATCACCTATGTTAGAACAAGGTTTTCTTAAAGTATTGATTTGCCCTTAGGAAAATTGCAAGAGGTTTTGATGTTTAATCCTGAAATGTTTCTTTTTTTCCCATTTTTTGTAGAGATGGGGGGGTCTTCCTATGTTGCCCAGGCTAGTCTCGAACTCCTGGGCTCAAGCAATCCTCCTGCCTTGGCCTCCCAGAGTGCTGGGATTACAGGCATGAGCCACTGGCCTGGCCGGCTTTTCCTGATGTGTCTGGATTATTCTGTGTAACCAAGAAAATTCCTGTGCTGTTACTAAGAGTCATGTAATTCCCTGCTCCAGGCACTCCTTTGCTTGTTTACAGTCCTCTATGATAAAGTGAACACTCATAACCCTGGACGCACTCTTCCTGTGTCTAATTAAATTCAAGTACCCTTTTCTTCAGGTTTGACTTCTGGGTTATCTAAGGAGAAGCAATCATACAGCAGGAGGTTCTTCTTTACTTTTTGTAACTAGCCTAAACACAAGACATTTTTACATTTTATCAAGTTAGATTTGTTTTTTTATTAAGTTTTTGATTACTCAAGCGGAAAACTGAGCTTTAAATGGGTTAAGGCTTTTACATTCATGTAACTTTCCGTATTTGCTTTTGAAGTATTTTAACTATCACTCTGCTTAAATGAATGATTAATATTTTACATGACTTGTAATTTTTTTTTTTTTTTGAGACAGGAGTCTCACTCTGTTGCCCAGGCTGGAGTGCAGTGGTGCAATCTCAGCTCACTGCAACTGCCACCTTCCAGATTTAAGCGATTCTCCTGCCTCAATCTCCCTAGTAGCTAGGATTACAGGCACCTGCCACAACGCCTGGCTAATTTCTGTGTTTTTAGTGGAGACAGGGTTTCACCATGTTGGCCAAGCTGGTCTTGAACTCCTGACCTCAAGTGATCCACCTGCCTCAACCTCCCAAAGTGCTGGAATTACAGGCACGAGCCACCACGCCTGGCCCTGTGATTCTGTTTTGATCAAGTGTTTTATACTTTTTGATATATTTTGTAGGCTTCCCAAATATCAGAATACCAAATTAAGTCTTTTTGACCTAGAACTAACTTTTGGATTTTCTATTTGTGCTCCTGAAGAGACTCAAAACATGTATCTCTCGTCTTGTTGAGACATTAAATAATCAGGCTTATTTGGTAAATTGTAGGGAAGCATTGTCAAATTATAAGTGATACTAGATCTTCTTTCAGATACATTTATCGGTATGTTGTTGATATGTTTCAAAAATTATGTAAACTCATAGAAATCTAATATGTTATCTGTCATAATTTTCGTTGTTATATTACATTTTTTCTGAAGCTATATTTGTATGACTATGTTATTAATGCATTCTAAAGATGATGTGAAATTTATAAGTTTCATGGTCCTGGTATCAGTCCAGCTGTCAGTCATGATTCCGGTTGTTATCTTAAAATGCCATATGTTGGCCGGGCACAGTGGCTCACGCCTGTAATCACAGCACTTTGGGAGGCTGAGGCGGGTGGATCACGAGGTCAGGAGATTGAGACCATCCTGGCTAACATGTTGAAAACCCCATCTCTACTAAAAACACAAAAAAACTAGCCGGGCATGGTGGCGGGTGCCTGTAGTCCCAGCTACTCGGGAGGCTGAGGCAGGAGAATGGCGTGAACCCAGGAGGTGGAGCTTGCAGTGAGCCAAGATCGTGCCACTGCACTCCAGCCTGGATGACAGAGGGAAACTCTGCCAAAAAAAAGAAAAAAAAAGCCATATGTTGTATGTAAGTAACTAAATTTCCTTGATAATTAGGAATTTTCATCAGATTTTTAACCACGGCCATTCTAAGCATTTGGGCTTCTCTCGTTATTATTTTCGATTATTCCCTAAAAGTATTTGCAATCAACTACAGTCCCAAATTGCCTTTCATAAAAAGACTTGCAAGAACTCTTGGACACAGATTTCTGATAACTTTAAGATCATGAACGGAAAAAGAATTTCCAGAACTCTGATGAAGAAACTGACGGGTCCATGACACTGCTAACCAAGATCAAGCAAAACAAAATACTAATTATATGAAATTTAAAAATTAACACGTTTTAATGACTTTTATTTGAAACATTGTAAGTTCTTTACCTACATGTTTTATTTTCCAGATTTAAGAAAATTGTCTCTCAAAAGCTGTCTATAGTTTACAACAATTTGGTATAGTTTAGTGAACAAAGGTGGAGGCATTTGATTTTACTGTTTACTTGATTGTTCCAAAATTTGGAAACTATTCATGTATAGTCCTAGTTTTAAGTACAATATAATTATTTATATAAGTTCAACAAAAATCTATTCTCTCTTTACAGCAGGATACAATTGGAAACATTGATTATAGTACAGAGGTTTTGACTGAATATCATATTTGAAGGTATCCATAGAAAGCCTGGTTTTAAGACTTTCCAGCCTTACAATCAGTAAATAAAAATTGTAATTTCCTGGCAGGCCCAGGAACATTCAGGTTGTAAGTACAATCGAAGATCTGCCCAGGTTTGGCTTTCTAGCCTCAAAAGGTTTTTAAATCTGATAACCTACGTCATCAGTGTAGGGAGAAAAAGTTATGTTTCTAAAGAAAAACTATCATACCCTTGTTATTAGACTGTAGCTCTGAGCCTTGTTTTCGAGTTCTTGTTATCTACCTGTAGAATGGGCTAGATCCTGAATTCTCCTAATTTTCTTCATTGTTTGGTTATAATTCTCCAACTAAAAACTAAAACTGCTTCTCTTCTAAAGCCCTGTAAGATGAACCTAAACACATTTTAAGAAACAAGCCTCATGCCTGATGTATGGTCCACACATAAGGTTCACCAAACTGCTTGATGCCACAACCAGAGATATTCAAGCTGCAAACTGGGAGGAAAAGTTGATGTTTTCATGTTGTAAACAGTTTTCCCTGGACATTGGAACAAGACTCCATATCATAAGGAGACTCTAACTCAACTCCTCTTAATGTCTATCCTTTTCACTTGACAGGATAATAATGAAATTGAAATTTCACAATCAGTAGCTTCTGCTGGTAACTTAACAGAACGTAACCTTTAAAAATCTTTTAGTAACACCCGTAATCCCAGCACTTTGGGAGGCCGAGGCGGGTGGATCACCTGAGGTAAGGAGTTCGAGACCAGCCTGGTCAACATGGTGAAACCCCGTCTCTACTAAAAAATACCAAAAATTAGCTGGGTGCAGTGGTGGATGCCTGTAATCCCAGCTACTCAGGAGGCTGAGACAGGAAAATCGCTTGAACCCGGGAGGCGGAGGTTGCAGTGAGCTGAGATCACACCACTGCACTCCAGCCTGGGTGACAAGAGTGAAACTCCGTCTCAAAAAAAAAAAAAAAAAATCCTTTAGTATTCATTGGTTAAATAAGAAAATGCCTGTGCATTTCTTATTGTGGTACCTGGATAAATTCCTCTGGGAAAGTTGAGACCCATATACACAAAAGAAGAAAACAGGCCACATCATTCAAGTCTTACCTAATTCCCTATGGTCATTGATTCATTCGTCTTTAAGCCTACCAAGTTCATGGATGCAAACTGGGATTGTCACATTACTATTAATTTTACTTTTTATTTCCCCTTTTTAAACTTTGTATCTGTTACTTGTCATTTTTTTTCCATCTAGGATACATAGGAATAAAGATAATTTTTTTGAGATAGGATATTGCTATGTTGTCCAGGCTGGCCTTGAACTCCTGGACTCAAACAGTCTTCCCACCTCAGGCTCCTGAGTAGCTGGGACTATAGGCATGAGCCACCATGCCTGGTTACTTGTTAACTGATCTGCAGAAGTACAACTCCTAATAACATAATGCTGGCCCAGCACTTTCAGATGATAGCAAAAGATCATGGAAAAGACAAAACTGCACTTAACAATGCACTCCAGGTAGACTTATCCAGGGAGCCACTCCCTTCAAACCTCCCTTGCTGCTCAGATGTGGCTAAAAGGGTTTTGACACTGGATCCTAGTCACCAATCATTCCCCTCAAAGTGGGGTGAGACCACCAACGATGACAGGTCCATCCCAGCACGGAGAGGCATCAAAACGCAACCACAGGTTGATTGATCAGTGAGGCTTTTAAAGAAAGATCTTGATCAGAAGAGGAAATGTGAAAATTGTCAGAGTCAAAAAAGGGTCACTAGTGTTAAAGAAAAAAAAGTCAGAAAAGATTCACTAGTTTAAAGAAAAACAAACAAGCAAACAAACAAAAACTCCTGACAAATAGAGTCAGGGAAGGCCTTGAAGAGAGGGTTCTCATGCTTGTATATTGATAACAAAAATGATGACAAAACCCAAAACCTTGCACCAAGGCTATCACAACCTTACACAAAAGGTGCTTTGGCAAGAACACCTGCCCAGCAATTGCCTGTCCAGCCCCAGACTGGATCGTCCTTGTTACCGATCTCTGTACTGAGGACAATTATCTCAGAATAATTATGTGATTCCTTCCCTGTCTGAATATGCAGCGTTTACTGTGGAACGCATATTCCCATTGCAGTGCTCTATCTTTAGGTTGACAGAAGCATTAGGTTTTCTCATCTGTGCCTCATCTAGTGAGCTTTGAGGTTCAACAAACATTTTTGCATCATGATACTGTGCTCTCACAGTAGGCATCAACTTATGGGAGGGTCACCCAAAACTTCTTCAGTGAGAAATGTGGTTTACATTTTGTATCAGTTTTGTAGAGATATAGTTTACAAATCATCAAATTTAAAGCATGCAATTCAATTGTTTTAATACATGTCCTGGGTTATGGAATCGTCACCGTAATCCAGTCTCAGAATATTTTAATCTCCCCCCAAAGAAACCCCGTACCCTTAGCAGTCACCCCTCGTTTCCCATGCACCTGCTAACTCCCTCAGCCCTGAGCAAGTGCTGGTCTATATTTTGTCCCTATAGACCTGCCTCTTCTGGACACTTCATATAAATATAATCGTACAGTATGTGGTCTTTTGTGCCTGGCTTATTTCACTTAGCATGATGTTTGCAAGGTTCATCCATGTTGTACCATGTATCCGAACTTCATTTTTTATGGCCAAATAATATTCCATTTCATGGACATACCAATTTTGTTTATCCATTAATCATTTGCTGAACGTTTAGGTCATTTCCACCTTTTAGCTATTGCGAAAAGTGCCGCTATGAATATTTAGGTACAAGTTTTCATATGGACATATATTTTCAATTCTCCTGGGCATACACTTAGGAATTCTGGGTCATAAGACAACTTGATGTTTAACATTTTGAGGCCAAATGTTGTCCAAGGTTGCTGCACCATTTTACATTCCTGCTGGCAACTTATGAGGGTCCCAATTTCTCCACAGAATCACCTGTTATTTTTATTTTAATACACTTTATTTTTTGGAGTATTTTTAGGTTTAGGGAAAAAATGCACAGAGAGTACAAAGAATTCCCACATACTCTTCCATCCCCTCACCCCCAGTTTCTGCAATTGTTAACATCTTGCATTAGTGTGGTCCATTTGTTACAGGATGACCCAATATAATCACATTACTATTTTTATCGTTTTTATTATTATAGCCATCTGTCTTAGTCCATTTTGCTTTGCTATAACAGAATATCAGAGACTGGGGAATTTATAAATAAAAGAAATGTATTTGACCCAGGATTCTGGAGGTGGAAAAATCCAAGATCCAGGGGCCACAACTGCTGAGGGTCCAACAGTGTGTGTGAGAACAAGAGCAAGAGGCTGAGGGTCCAACAGTGTGTGTGAAAACAAGAGCAAGAGGCTGAGGGTCCAACAGTGTGTGTGAAAACAAGAGCAAGAGAAGGCCAAGCTCCCTTTCATCAGGAACTCAAGTCCGTAATCACGAACCCACTCCTTTGATAACAGCATCAGCCATTCACGAAGGCAGGGCTGTCACAGCCTAATCACCTCTTATAGGCCACACCTCTCAACACAGTTGTACTGGGGATCAGGTTTCCAACACATGAACTTTGTGGGACACACTCAAGCCATAGCACCATCCTGACAGGTATGAGGTGGTTTCTCATTGTGGTTTTGATTTGCAGATCCCTGACTGATATGGTTTGGCTGTGTCCCCACCCAAATCTCACCTTGAATTGTAGCTCCCATAATTCCCACGTCATGGGAGGGACCCGGTGGGAGGTAACTGAATCATGGGGGTGGGAATTCCGTGTGCTGTTCTCAGGATAGTGAATAAGTCTCACAAGATCTGATGGTTTGATAAAGGGCAGTTCCCCTGCATACGTTCTCTTGCCCGCCGCCATGTAAGTCGTGACTTTGCTCCTCCTTTGCCTTCTGCCATGATTGTGAGGCCTCCCCAGCCCTGTGGAACTGAGTCAATTAAACCTCTTTCCTTTATAAATTACGCAGTCTCAGGTATGTATTCATTAGCAGCATGAGAACAGACTAATACATTGACCTTTAAAGACACTGAACATCTTGTCATGTGTTCACTGGTCATTTACATATTGTCAGCACCATTTGTTGAAAACACTTTTCTTTTGCCCAATAAGATGTCTTCACATCCTTGAAAATCAGTTGACCATAAATATGAGGGTTTACTTCTGGACTCTAAATTCTATTTAGACTGGAATTCTATTCCACTGATCTACATTTCTATCCTGATGTCAGTACCACATTGTCTTGATTACTGCAGCTTTGTAGGGAATTCTGAGTACTCTAAATAATTTTTCAAGATTCTTTCTGCTATCCTGGGTCCCTTTCATTTTTATGAATTTTAGGATCAGCTTGTCAACTTCTGCATAAAAGTCAGCTGGGATTTTGAAAAGGATTGTATTGACTCTATAGATCGATTTGGGAAATATTTCCTTCTTAACAATATTAAGTCTTCTGATCCATAAACATGAGATATCTTTCAATCTATTTAAATCTTCTTTATTTTCTTTCAACAATGCTTTGCAGTTTTCAGTGTTCACATCTTGAACTTCTTAAGTCTATTCCTGAGTATTTTATTCTTTTTGGTGCTATTATAAACGGAATTGTTTGCTTATTTTGGCTTTCTCATTGCTGGTATATAGAAACACAATTTATATCCTGCAACATTGCTAAACATGGTTTTTCTAAGGTTTTTAAAATGAATTCCAGCCGGGCGCGGTGGCTCATGCCTGTAATCCCAGCACTTTGGGAGGCCAAGGTGGGCAGATCACCTGAGGTCAGGAGTTGCAGACCAGCCTGGCCAACATGGTGAAACCCTGTCTCTACCAAAAATACAAAAATTAGCCAGGTGTGGTGGCGGGTGCCTGTAATCCCAGCTACTCGGGAGGCTGAGGCAGGAGAATTGCTTGAACCCAGGAGGTAGAGGTTACAGTGAGCTGAGAACGCGCCACTGCACTCCAGCCTGGGTAACAAGAGCAAAACTCGTCTCAAAAAAAAAAGATTCCATAGGTTGTTTGTTTGTTTGTTTTGTAGAGATGGGGTCTCACTGTGTTGCCCTGGCTGGCCTTGAACTCCTGGGCTCAAGCAGTCCTCTCACCTTGGCCTCCCAAAGCACTGGGATCATAGGTGTGAGCCATTGTGCCCTGCCATAGGCTTTTTTTACATAAAAGATTAAGCCATCTTCAACAATCTCTAGAGATTGTTTTATACCTTTCTTTTGAATTGGATGCTTTTTTTCTTGACTAACTGCCCTGGCTAGAGCCTTCTGTACACAATTACCTAGAAGGGGCAAGCCGCTCTTGTTTTATTCCTGATTTTAGGCGAAGGCCTCCCATCTTCAAGCATTGAGTCTGATGTCAGCTACAGGTTTTTTGTAGAGGCTGTTTATCAAGCTAAAGAAATTTCCTTCCATTCCTCGTATGTTGAGACTGAAATTCAGCAGACAGCTGGCACACTGACTGAAGTTCAAAGCTCGGAACCTGAACGTGAGCCTGAGTGAGGCAGCTCCCTGAGGGGGCAGAACTGTTGCCTTATGTGACAGCTAGTGGGTATGGAGGAATGAAAGGAGCCTCCACTCCTTGCTGCCCTGATCTGGCTCCTGACATTTTCCTTCAAATGGCATCAGGACCAGGGGCCAGCTGGGCTCTGTGAAACGCAGGAAGCAGGGAGCTGCGTCCACCCGCCAGCCTGCCCTCACCTCCCTAGAGCCTTGCCTTCTCTGTACTGCACACTTAGGCACGGTGAGCCCAGCCCAAGGCATCATTCTCACCTGCCCCTGAAGTCAGACCAGTCTAGCGGCCTCCGTCCCCTTCCTGCCAGTCCTCTTGTAAGGAGGGCAAAAATAAAACACCAAACAAAACATCAACTATATTCTGTATTTCCTACATTATTCAGATAAATTGTATTTATCGAAAAAGCTGTCCCGTTTCGTTTTGACGGCCCTGGAGTACGGCCCCTTCATCAGCTGAGATCACAAAGACGTCTAGCGGAGGTAACGGGAGCAGGGTCTGCAGTCAGCCACCTGGCTTCCAGATGCCAGTCCTGCCCGCTCCTGGCTGTGCAGCTGAGCACCCAAACCTCCGCAGGCCTCGCTTTCCTCTCTTATCTGTAAGCTGGAAACCGTAGCTACCTCAGTGAGTCATGGTGCAGATGAAATGAGACCAGGCTCTGCAATGCACTTGGTACAGCAGCTGGCAAAGTGTCATCTGCCCCCGACAATAAGCACCATCCTTGCCTCTGCAGAGATGCTTAGCAAGGTAAGTGGGTTCTCAGTGTTAAGATTCACAGTGTAACCAACATCTAAAGCTGTTCATGATTTTGGCCTGAATGGGAAGTTAGGAAGAACTCACAAAGAAATCACAAAGGAAAGTAAAAAAAGGAAAAAAGAAAGTCATCAAGGGGAGTAAAAACTGGTTAACATTTCATTTTCTTTTCTTTTTTGGCCTAGAGATTATTAACTTTTAGAAACAGGTGTCACAGGCAATGGTCTTTAAAGAGCATCTAAATAGACCTGGAATTTGCTTTTTTAAATGTACTTAATTCCCATTACCTCTGTGCTTCTCAAGCAATTCTGGTTCACATTATGAAATGAGTACATTCTCAGATTATTTAGTTCAGAAATCGGAATATTTATTCTATTATGCCACAAATTAAGCAGAACTCTGCAAAGTGATCTCTAAAAATAAGTCTGAAAAATAATCATCTAATTCCAGTAGAGGCCTCTTACACTTTTTAAATGTTAACTCCAGGCCGGGTGTGGTGGCTCACGCCTGTTATCCCAGCACTTTGGGAGGCCAAGATGCGTGGATCACTTGAACCCAGGAGTTTGAGACCAGCCTGGCCAACATGGTGAAATCCCATCTCTACTGAAAATACAAAAATTAGCCGGGCATGGTGGTGGGTGCCCGTAGTCCCATCTATTCAGGAGGCTGAGGCAGGAGAACTGCTTGAACCCGAGAGATGGGGGTTGCAGTGAGCCGAGATTGCACCACCGCACTCCACCCTGGGCAACAGAGCAAGATTCCATCTCAATAAAAAATAATAATACATTTTAATTGTGGTTAAAAAATACATAAAATTTACCATATTAACTGTTTTTAAGTGTACACTTTAGTAGCATTGTTTATTCATATTGGTCTGAATTTTTTTTATCTTGCAAAACTAAAACTCTGTACCCATCAAACAACTGCCCACCCTGCCCCCAGCCCTGGTAACTACCATTTTGTTTTCTGTTTCTATAAATTTGACTTTAGGCATCTCACAGAAGGGGAATAAGACGGTATTGCACAGCCAAGATCATGCCACTGCACTCCAGCTTGGCAACAGAGCAAGACTCTGTCTCAAAAGAAAAAAAAAAAAAGACAGTATTTGCCTTTTCGCAGCTGGCTTATTTCACTTGGCATAGTTTCTTCAAGGTTCACCCATGTTGTAGCATGGGTCAGAATTTCATTCCTTTTTTTTTTTGGAGATGGAGTCTTGCTCTGTCGCCAAGGCTGGAGTGCAGTGGCGCGATCTCGGCTCACCGCAAGCTCCGCCTCCCAGTTCACACCATTCTCCTGCCTCAGCCTCCGGAGTAGCTGGGACTACAGGTGCCCACCACCACACCCGGCTAATTCTTTGTATTTTTAGTAGAGATGGGGTTTCACCATGTTAGCCAGGATGGTCTCGATCTCCTGACCTCGTGATCCACCCACCTCGGCCTCCCAAAGTGCTGGGATTACAGGCATGAGACACTGTGCCTGGCCTTCATTCCTTTTTAAGGCTTAATAATATCCCATCTCACAGGCCACCTGGCTTGTCCATTCATCTGTTGATTGACGCTATGTTGTTTCTGCCTCTTGGCTACTGTGAACAGTGCAGCTGTGAACATGGTGTGCAAGTGGCTCTTTAGACTTTGCTTTCAATTCTTTGGGTAAATACGTACAGGTGGGATTCCTGGATCACATGCTAACTCTGAGGAAAACCTCCATGCTGTTTTCATCACAGCCATCCTAACTCCATGCTGTTTTTCATCATAGCCATCCTCATGAGTATGGAGTGATCATCTCATTGTGACTGTGGTTCGCATTTCTCTAATGGTCAGTGATTTTGAGCATCTTTTCATGTGCCTACTGGTCATCTGTAAATACGACTGTCCCTTGGTATCTGTGGGGGACTGGTTCCAGAACCTCCCACGGACCAAAATCTAAGGATGTTGGGAGTATTTGCCTGTAACCTATGCACACCCTCCTGCATCCTTTAAATCGTCACTAGATTACTTATAATAGCTAATGCAAAGTAAATGCTATGTAAATAGTTGTTACACTATATTGTTTAGAGAACAATGAGAAGGAAAGTCTGTACATGTTCAGCATGGGCACATTTTTTTAATAAAAATATTTTCAATCCCTGGCTGGTTACATCCAGGGATGCAAAACCCATCGATAGAGTGCTGACTGTATATCCTCTTCAGAGAAGTGTCTGTTGAAGTCCCTTGCTCATTTTTAAATGAGGTGACTTGTTTTACTGTTGAGTGGTGGTTGTCTATATATTCCAGATATTAACCCCTTATCAGATATATGATTTGCAGATATTTTCTCACATTCCACAGGTTACCTTTTCCCTGCACAGAAGGGAAAGGTTGATTGTGTCCTTCGATGCACAGAAGTTTCTAAGCCTGATGTCGTCTTAGTTTTACTTTTGTTGCCCGTGTCTTTGGTGTCATATCCAATAAATCACTGCTAAATCCAATGTCATAAATTTTTCCCGTTTTCTTCTAGAAATTGTATACCTTTATTTCTTGTTTAGTCTTTAATCCACTGAGTTTTCACATAAGGTGTCAGATAAGGGTCTTGGGGGCCACATGTTGGCCTGTGCAACAGTTAAAGGGCCCCAAGCATAGTCACATACGTGCAGATGATGTTCACACACAGATACCCAGGCCCAGGAGATCTTGGACTCCCCAAGGCCATATTCTATTCCTACAACTGCTGTCCTTCCCCTTAACCTCCTTTTGTTCTGGCCTTGCTAGCACAGACCCTTGCATGCTAATCAAATGACACAGTTGAGTTTGGAGGAAACATACATCAGTGAGGAAAAGTGACCACAGAATCCTTCCAGGTTTCACCAAAACCACCCGTGACGTAGATAAAACTAGAATTCTGGGGACTGGGATTCCTCCTTTTCCCCTGAGCCACTACGTAAAGGTGACTGCATTACAGTCCCATACCTCTTATCTGTGGCCCCAGTATCCATTTTTTTTAAGACAGGGTCTCGCTCTGTTGCTCAGACTGGAGGACAGTGGTGCAATCACAGCTCACTGCAGCCTTGACCTCCTAGGCTCAATGGATCCTCCCACCTCAGCCTCCTGAGTAGCTGGGACTCCAGACAGGTGCACACCACCACACTCAGCTAATTTTTTGTAGAAATGAGGTCTCACTATGTTGCCCAGGTTGGTCTTGAACTCCCGGGCTCAAGTGATCCACCTGTCTCAGCCTCTCAAAGTGCTGGGATTACAGGCATGAGTCACAGTGCCTGGCCCAAATTCATAGTCCTAAACATGGAAAGTTTTGTGTACTTCATTTGGCGGAAAGTCTAACCTGATTTGGCACGAGACGACCCATGATCCTTTTCGTCCTGCTTGTATTTTGCTGCAGGAATATCAGTTTGATGAGGGTGTTGCCCCAGGCCCCAAGTGGAATATGCACACGTCACTTTCCTAAAATCAGAACAATTCAGAGTTCTGAAACACACGAAACACAGCTGTTTCTAAGATTCTTGACTAAGAGGTTGTGGCTTATGCTATTTTTCCTGACTGTGGCCTCACTTTCTTCCCAATAAATGTTTCAATCTGTTGATACTAATGTTTTTTCTCATGATACTTGTAAGATAACTGATTTTAACAAAAGGTGGCACACCTATTAAAGACATGGTTAAGTTTCATTGGCTGTATAGCATCTCTAATTGGAAGACTACATGGCATCTATCCAGGTTGGAGTTGTAATCACCTAGGGATGTCTACATCTGTCTACCTAGATCAGTCTGTCAGTTCCATCGAGGTCTGTATTTCAAAGTCCATACATAACACACGGTTCTTCCCATTTTACAGAATTATTTTTTCAAACCAAAGTTCACATACTGCTGGTGGGAACAGGTTCAAATAGGGAATGCTGATACATATCAACAACCTTTGAGACAAACCTGTTCACACAGTGAGTGTGGAGCCCTTGGCCCCCCTACTTTCTCTCTCGCAGGCCCCGACATCACCCTGGGCTTGCGCTGTTGGTAGTGTTCAAAGGAAAACTTTAGAAACATTAAATTTTACAGAGTTTAATTGAGCAAAGAATGATTCAGGAATCAGGGAACCCCTCAAACCAGAATAGGCTCAGAGAGACTCCAGTGCCACTGTGTGGCCAAAGACTTACGGACAGAAAAGGGAGTGAGGCACAGAAGGCAGAGGTGAGGCCTGCAAACAGCAGGGTGGCTACAGCTCGTGTCTGGCTTATTGAAACAGAGTTTGAAGTGCTGCTGCCTGTGACTGATTCAAGAGTAGGTTACAGTGTCCACACATCCAATTAGATGACTGTTCACTACGTATGGAGAAACCTATAGGCTAAACTTACAGTATGTAAGGAGGCGGCTTCAGGCTACAGCTGAGTAGTGTGTCCTTACAGTTGGAACCAGGAGTTCATGGGAATTCTTCATCATCCAGTGGTCTGTAAATGTTGCCCATGCTGAGTAGTCTGTCCTTACAGTGTGAACCAGGGGTTCATGGGAATTCTTCACCATCCAGTAGTCTGTAAATGTTGCCCATGCTGAGTAGTGTGTCCTTACAGTGTGAACCAGGGGTTCATGGGAATTCTTCACCATCCAGTGGTCTGTAAATGTTGCCCATGCTTTAGTTTTGTTACCTGGTTGCTCTGTTTTTATGGGATTGTGAGAAACTGAAAAACTGTGACTGCTGGAGCCATTTTCCCACAATCCCCATTTTTTAAAAATCCCATAAAGGCTCTCTCGTGAGCACCGCACGTTTTCCCTTGTAGTCACGAGGGTAGGGGCTGGAGAAAGCAGCAGAGATAGTCAAAAACCCACAGCTACAAAAAATGCACTCCTAAGAGCAAGTAATGGCGAGGGCTAAAAGGCACTGTGCCCCTTCTGGGCCATTCTAATTACCACATTTAAATGGTTTTGAGAAAAGAGAATTTTTATCTGAGGAACGCGAGTTCTTTTAATTATCAGGCCGAGAGAGACATTCAAATGAGGCGACAATCGCGCCCTACTACCCCTTGACCTGTGTTCACCTCTTTAAACTGCTACTGGTGGCAACAGCGCCACAAACAGCTATAAATTAACCTAATGACGCCACAATGGACACTATACCCACACTCAATAGCTGAACAACATATAGTCAGTCACTAATCAATGTTATTTCTGTAAACCAGTGAGAATTCCTCACAAACAAGTTCCTATTAGTCCACTCCCTGGCCCCCTTTTTTGCCTTTAAAATCCACTGTTAACTGCTAATCGGAGTACACATTCAGGGCGCCTTGAATTTGTGCTCAAGTGTGGCCCAAATAAACTCTCTACTTAGAGAAACTGTGTCTCCGCTCGTTTTCAGGCCGACAGTTTCCAAAATGTTAGTATTCAGCCTAACATGAGAAAAGTCACCATATAAAAGTGAGGGGGGAAAAGCAAATACAGGATAATCTCAATTGTATATAAAATTTATATACGTAAGGACAAAGATACATAGTAAAAAAAAAATTCTGGCAGGTATTAAGGCTGAAAAAATTAAAACAGTCCAGAGCGGTCTGGCTCAGGCCAGCCTGGGCCTGCCGAGTAGCTGGGACCTCAGCCACCGCGCCTGGCTAAGTATTAATGAATCTGTTTTAGAGATAGGGTCTTGCTACGTTGCGCAGGCTGGTCTCCAACTCCCAGGCTCAGGTGATCCGCCCGCCACAGCCTCCCGAAGTGCTGAGCCTCCCAAAGTGCTGAGACTACAGGCCTGGCCGCCCGCCCGCCAGCTTAATTCACGTAAATTCCAGACAAACGTAGAAAGTGGCTCCTTTAGTAAGCCACTTGCGGCTGCTGCTCATCAGGGTTCGCCTGGGGCCACTGAGACCACGCGCCGGTGCCCGCCCTCCCGCTGCGGTCCGATTTTCTGAACCAACCAGGCGCTTCCGGGCGCCTTGCCCCAGACGGGCCCACCGCCTGCGCGGGCCGAGGGCGGCGCACCTGCCCCTGCGCTTCCGCATCGAAGGTGAGGTCGGAGGAAGAGAAGACCGCAACCCCCAAGCTCCCGCGGCGTGGGGTCCGGGGGGGGACACGAGGCGGGGCCACCAGGACGCCGACAGCCTCACGTCTCTGGGCCCGCGGCGCGCAAGGCATGCCGGGACCCGTAGTCCCGCGACGTTGCGACTCACAGTGCGCGATGGGAGTGGAGGAGAGCGGCTCGCGGTGCATGCCGGAACTCGTAGTCTCGGGATGCTGGGTCTCAGCGCGTGATGGGGTAATGGCACGCAGGCCTGCGTTGAACGCTGGGACTCGTAGTCCCGCCATGCTCTGTCCGCGGTGCACGCCGGGATACGTAGTTCCGAGCGCGCCAAGACCGTCACTGGGACTGGGCGACAGCGGCCCGCGTTGCATGCCGCTGCTCCACGGTGCCGGCGCTCCGAGGAAAAGTAGGTAGGGCTCAGGAACGCAGTTCTTCACGGCCGGCACGCAGGGTTGGTCCCAGGACGGAGCCGGCTCCGGCCCCGCGCGGCGCTCGTATTTACACGCGCACGTACGCACGTACGCGGCGCCCTTGCGTGACGTCACGCGCCCTCCAGGAAGTCGGCGCGGGCTAGGCGACGGGTGGAAGCCGGTACCGAGAGGAACTACAGCGTCGCCGCCTGGGTTGTGTCGCCGCGGTAGGCGCTGCGCTCTGAGCGCAGCGCAGGCCCCGTACCGACCGCCCGCCCGCCCTCTGTCCGCGATGGAGGTGCCGGCCGCGGGTCGCGTTCCTGCCGAGGGCGCCCCGACGGCGGCTGTGGCCGAGGTGCGCTGCCCGGGGCCCGCGCCGCTGCGCCTGCTGGAGTGGAGGGTGGCGGCGGGCGCGGCCGTGCGCATCGGCTCGGTGCTGGCCGTGTTCGAGGCCGCCGCCTCCGCGCAGTCCTCCGGGGCCTCTCAGTCCCGTGTAGCCTCCGGGGGCTGCGTGCGCCCCGCGCGGCCGGAACGCAGGCTGAGGTCGGAGCGCGCGGGCGTGGTGCGGGAGCTGTGCGCGCAGCCGGGCCAGGTGGTCGCCCCAGGGTGAGTGTGCTGAGCCGGGCGGGGCCGAGGGCGGGCGGCTCCGGGGAGGGATCCTGGAGGACCCCCGGGCTGCTGCGTCCGCGGTGGGCAGGGGCGCCCCTGGTGAGGGAGCGATAAAGCGGGACGCAGGCACTGCGCTTCTCCCCTAAAACTGGATAGTCACCACCTGTGGTTTTACCAACGGGGAGCATTTTGAGATAAAAGGAAAGGGTCCTGCGTAGCGACACGAAGTTACTGTTTGGAAAAGCTATGTTTGTTTCTTTCTTTCTGCAGTGATAGTCCCCGCCCCTTCCTTTAGCTCCACCTTTGTGACTTAGGAAAACTCATGGGTGGCTGTGAGCACAAGAGTCATCAGGCAGGCTCCAGACCTGTTATTGAAATATAAACTGTTGGGTGTGTGCACATCTTTAAATTTTTGTAAACTTTGTGAAACGCAGTTGTAAAACCTGGTGCAGTTCTGTTTCGTGGCTAAGGAACGGGCGGAACCCAGGCCTGCAGCGAAGGCAGTAGCCCCGTGGTTGACCACAGTGGGCATTGTCGCAGGCTGCTTCAGGGTGACGTGGGCGTTGTGACAGACTCCACAGCTCTCAGTAGCTGTGCTCTGACCCCAGAAGGGGATATGTTTCCGTAGCACCGAAGTGTCCAGCCATGTTTGAATCTACCCTTGTGTTCTGGGATGGGCGGGCAAGTGGACACGCGTGTGCGCCTGGCTCTGGTAGTTTTGATTGTGAGAACAGAAACTCCAGGGAGAGGTGGACACTCCAGCCCGCAGTGGGCCGGGCGTGAGCTCCCTCTGGGAAAGGTGCCGCTCCTTCTGGGGATGCCACTCTCTTCCCTCCTCGGCAGCCGCGGCTCCTCGTCCCTTTGGCTTGCCCTGACCCTGTGTTTGTTGAGGATCTTCTCTGCATCTGGTTCCGCAAGAGTGAGGACTGGGACAGGAGTCTTCCCGTCACAGCCCCAGAACGTCCTGGCTCCGCTTCCTTTGGAGACAGAGCCTGGGTCCTTGACCCTCGGCACGGGCACTCACTCCTGCCCCCTGCGTGCTGGTGGGTGGGGCTGGGAGGTTCAGGGCCTTGCCTCCCAGAAAATGCCTTCACGGCTTCCTCAGTGGGCACTGGCCGTACCTGGGAGGATTGTGGAGGCAGATCCCAATGCTGGTGTATTCCCTGGACAGAAAACCCCAGGATGGAAGATCCCTACTGAGGTTTCATTCTGTTCCTCTGATTGTACAGAAAGGGCTGCTTTGGCCTAGACAGGTGAGTAACTTGGTTATGTGGCAAGTTAGTATTGAAATTCCATGTTCAGTCAGTCTAGTGAATAAAACCAACCCAGTGCATCAGTCAGTCAGCCAGCCAGGTCATGAGCTTGATGACGGGTTCCCAGCAGTCAGTAGTGTTTACAGGGAGGTGCTGTTTGAGATCTTGGGGTACCTCACAGGGCCCTTTGAGACACTGATGTGATATCATTTCTCCTCAGATGGAGCGTCTGTGTGGCACCAGGTGTCCCTCTGGTTCCAGGAGGCTCATCTCTCTGCCTCCAGTCCATGGGCGGCAGGTAAATCCTTGCCTTAGAGAAAGCCACAGACGGTGCTGCCTGGAATTTGAGGTGGCTTCTTCCCCGTTTCTGTGTACTCCTGTGGGTTTGTGTACATGGGTTTTATGAGCGTTCTGGGGAGTGTGGTGGTGGTGGTGTGACGTCAGCATTTCCGGAGGTGTTCCTGCCCGTGCAGTGGGCGTGGGTGCCATAGATCCAGGAAGGAGCGACTGGAAGGGCTTTAGTCTAAAGCCCTGTGTGCATGTGCCCTGGCAGTTCTGGTCGTCTGTTTGGAATCAGGTTCCTGCCTCGCAGTTGCATTAGCCAGCTGAATTCGGGAGGTGCATTTGCAGCAGGAGTCCATGCTGCTGACGGTCGGCTCCGTGTGGTCCAGATGACACTGCCCTGGCTCTGGGGGGCTGCCGTTGGGAGCCGGTATGTGTTGGCCTCCCCAAAATGCCTGCTGCACCTTTGTGGAACACAGTTGAAAATTACTAGATTCAGTCACTTGTTGACAGATTTTGTGAACAGGGTGGGTTACAAGTGCGTTTCTCTGGCAGCACCCCTGTGATGGGAGTAGCGCCCTGCAGTGTGGACTTGTGGTGGCTTTGCTGACGTCTCTCCATAGAGAGTTGCAGGTAGAAATCTCCGCAGCTTTTGCTTAAAGCCAACAGTGATGGATTTCTCCAGGACGTTGAGTTCCAGCTCAGCAGCTCTTTATACACAATTTACAGCTAACCCTCGAACAACTTGCTTTGGTCTGCGAGGGCCACCTTTATGTAGATGTTTTTCAGTAAATCGTCTGCTGTTCGCATCCATGGGTTCCACGCCCAACACTGTTTGCTGGGTGTGGAGCCCAGCCTGTTTATACAGAGCGCTGACTTTCTGGATCAGTGGGTTCTCCAGGTTGACTGCGGGACCTGAGTATCTGTGGATGTGGAATTTGGTATCTGAAGGAGTCCTGCAGCCCGTCCCCCGTGAGAATGAGGGACTGATTAAATATGGAAGTCTTTCCATAATAGATTGTGCCGCTTTGTGATGAAGTAGAGAATATTGGGCATAATTCCATCCTGATGTTGGAAGGTGATAGGTGTGAGTTTAGTTCTCATCCCTGCGACGCCTCTGGGACGTCGGTTGGTGAAGAGCATCTGCCTTCCTCTAGAGAGCCTGAGTCACTTTCACTTAAAAGGTTTTTCCTCTGTTTTTCTTTTTTTCTCTGATTGCTGGTGTGGTCATTTCCAGCAACAGCTCCGCGGTTCTCTTCTGCGGTGTCCCACCACTTGGAGGCTGGAAGGTGAAGACATCAGGGAAGAGGAACTGCCTTCAACCGTCATTGACTCTGCTCACCAGCCCAGGTGTTTGATTTTTACTAAGCAAGTTCCCAGAATTGCACGTGGGCTGTTTTATAATTGACTTATCTTGACCACCTCTAAAAGTTCTCTTGAAGTTACAGATTCCTGAGATCTTTATCTGGGAGAGCAAGCATTTGGTTGAAGTTTGCTTTAAATGTTTATAGACTGATTATCGTGTATTGATCCTTAGAGTACCCCTTTCAGATTATGCAAATAACACGCACTTGTATAGACAAGCATGGGCAGAATCCACAACTGCTTTTGTGGAGGCTCCAACCCTGGCTTCAGCTCATCTGCGTGTGAGGGCAGGGGAGGTGCAGAATCTGCTCCTGGGCTTGTGCTGAAAGGAGGTCCCTTTTAACAGGGACCTCCCAGCACCAATGGAACCCCGTGGCTCTTGGTGAGAGAGAGCAGGTCCTGCCCAGCTGATGGATCAGAAACTCAGGTGTCAGAAACGGGGTTTCAGGGCGGCTGCCTGAGGAATGCGCAGGCGATCTGACGTTGGAATTCTGGCTTGGGCGAAGCCCTTGATGTGGCCACACAGTTTTGGTCCCTCAAGGGCTTACTGGTTGCCTGCGTGCCCTGGTGGCTCCTTGGTGAGGGGCCTTTGGAGAAAGTCTTGGGAAATCAGATTTCCCGAGGGTGTTGTTGAGGACATTGCTGACGAGGTGTGGGATTTACGGGGAGGACAGCCTGTCTCTTGAGGCTTGGTCGCTGTGTTCACCCTGCAGGTGTTATGAATTAGC
This sequence comes from Homo sapiens, assembly GCF_000001405.40. Taxonomy (NCBI): domain Eukaryota; kingdom Metazoa; phylum Chordata; class Mammalia; order Primates; family Hominidae; genus Homo; species Homo sapiens. Next base: position 126,526 of record NT_187617.1, read on the forward strand.
TTCTGGCCCAGGACGGTTTTGGGACCGGGGGGTGCCTACCCACTGTTGTTCCTTTATCTTGATCCTTTCACAGGGCTTATAAAAATACTTATTTTTCAGGAATAACGGGAAGTATCTTTGAAAACATAGCATTAAATCTGCTGAACTGGAGCTTGCAGAGAGCAGACAGCGGCAGCAGCCTGAGTGTGCTAAGCTCAAGCGTCGCTTGTGTGCCATCACCTTAGTGAAGGTGGCTCTTGACCCCACTGGCCGCCGGCTGCTTGACAGTAACTTGTTTAGCTGAGACTGTGTTTGAGAAACTGAGAGGTGTGGATGTTGCTTGTACATGTGCAGCCAGCATGCTCACAGTGCCGAGGAGCAGACTACGCGCTGCTCCAGAGCGTAGATTAGAACGTCAGTCTAAACAGTTCTTTATAGCATGGAATTTTAACAAAGAAAGAAGAATCCCACGTGGGTATGTGTGAGTGAGCCTTGTGTAGCTTAGTGTCGGTTACTGAGGCGGAGCACTGCGGAGAGAGGTAATGGAACCTGTGGCCCTGTGAAACCTCCCTCTATAAATAGCAGGTGTGAGTGAACCTGTGAAAAGCACCAGCACCAGCCAGGCAGGGTGGGTCCGTGCCCTCGTTGCCTGCATTGTTGTCACCAGGCAAGGTGGGTCCCTGCTCTTGTTACCTTCATTGTTGTCACCAGGCAAGGTGGGTCCGTGCCCTCGTTGCCTGCGTTGTTGTCACCAGGCAAGGTGGGTCCGTGCCCTCGTTGCCTGCATTGTTGTTACCAGCAACATTTATCCTAACCACATCAGTGGTTATTTTTAGACAAAGAACCATTCTGGGAACTTAAAAACACTGCATTTGGGTGAAGTTACAATAGTCACTAGATTGTCGTTTTGATCTTTAATAAGATTGTATGTTTTTGTCGGGCTTCATCCTATCTGGCAGAAGTAAGAACCTCCTCACTCCATTGGAAAGAAACTGAGGTTCCAAGAAGTTTGGACCTGCCCTGCCCCTTACAGGGTGTGAGGTCCTGGTGAGGAGGACGGTGCAGGGACCTCGTGGTCTCTACTCCCGGTTTCTCTGCGGTGCTCCTTACGGGGTGTGAGGTCCTGGTGAGGAGGACGGTGCAGGGACCTCGTGGTCTCTACTCCCAGTTTCTCTGCGGTGCTCCTTACGGGGTGTGAGGTCCTGGTGAGGAGGACGGTGCAGATGCCTCGTGGTGTGCTCAGGCCCTTGAGAGAGCCTCTGTCCTTGGTTCTCTGCGTGCTGCTCTCTGTAGACCAGGTTTCAGCCCTGGAGATTCCTAGTGTGGGGGGAGTAGCTAGAACAATAGTGTTTGTCTGCTTTTATAATATTTATGTGGAGTACAATTATTTTAATAGAAAATATTCTGACAGGTCACCATCTTTCAGAAACTAAGTCTTTTTTTTCCTGCAGATTTCTTTGCTTTGGCTTTTTCCCAGTCACTCACAGGGAGGTATTTAAATCGCCACAGAAAGGGGAAGGTACCTAAAATGATCTGGGAGCCTGCAGTGACTGGTGAGAACTAACAGGCGGAGGCCGTGTGCGAGGGTTGATGACGTCTGACAGACTGTACCTGTGCCTTTAGCGTGTCCACAGGAAGGGCATCTGCATTCACCAGCGCAGGGTGTGAGAGTGCCACAGAGAAGCAGAAAAACATTGCTGAATAAAATGAAGATCATTCCAACAGCAACGGTATTGCTGTCTTTATTGCTTTGTAGATTTTGGAATGAGAATCTCTGAGAAATAGTAATACAGTTAGAATAGGCTGCAACCTAAGATTAGTCCCCGAATTTATTGTTCTGTGATGAGGGAGTAGAAGCCTCTGAAATTCTAAATGTGCTTCAGTCAGTGCACGAACGTCGTCACCTAAGGGTCCGGTCCTGGAAATAAGGACATTTCGTTTTCATCCTGGTACCAAGAATCTTGATGAATTGGTAATTCTTTTAGAATAGTTTTATTATTAACAATTCTAATAATTATTTAGAATACTTTTATTCTTCCCTGTTGACGCCTGCACTATTTAAAGGATGATACTTTAAAAAAGATATTTGTGCCTAAAATTTGGGGGGCTGTCACTTTGTCAGCCCATTAAACGTGGGTAAGTTGCACTTCAAACGTTTTGCTTTGTTTTTCCCACTTTTCACCTAACAGAAAACCACTGGGCCTTGTTACTTGCTTGGTTTTGTTCGTCTGTGATTTACCTTTGTCATGGGTTTTTAGGTATCTCCGATCTAATCTTTTAGATAAAGGACTTTGAAGCACGTCTGCCTGGAAATGGTTTGTAGGTTTCAGAAATTTTGTGTGCATTATCAGATTTGTCTCCATTTTCATGGTTTCTTTAAAGTTAGTTTTAAAGTGGGTTATGTGAAATCATCTAGTATCTGGGTACAGAGGAATGGATGAATTCTCAGTTTTATGTGTGTTTTAAAAGTGCACAAATACAAAACGGAAAACAAGCGATGTAAGTTGTCTCAGAAAAAAGTGCTTTTTATATTTTCAGGAGAAAGAGAATGTAGAGAGAATGGAACTGATGAGTTTGAAGAGATTCAGGTGATATTTCTTAAAGGATAAATGCACATTTTAAAGGTTATGAAGAGATGGTCTTGGTAGGTTTTTAAATATACATCTAGCATCATATGTGCAAAATTCCTTACAATGTTAAGAGGAACTTGAGCTAAAACTTAACTCATTTAATATTTGTAACATTTTTGAAGTAGCGTTTAAAAGACAGTAATTTCCCTACGGTGCTTTAAATGGTGAAGAATGCTGGTGTCGTACGATTTTGATGCATTTTTTGTGCTGACTATAGACTGGCGGGAATGATGCAGTTAGCGAGTTGATACCCAGCATCATGTTGGCTTCTCCAGTTCACTGGTGGGCCTGCACCACAGCAGTTGGCTTCTCCAGTTCACTGGTGGGCCTGCACCGCAGCAGTTGGCTTCGTCAGTTCACTGGTGGGCCTGCACCGCAGCAGTTGGCTTCGCCAGTTCACTGGTGGGCCTGCACCGCAGCAGTTGGCTTCTCCAGTTCACTGGTGGGCCTGCACCGCAGCAGTTGGCTTCTCCAGTTCACTGGTGGGCCTGCACCGCAGCAGTTGGCTTCTCCAGTTCACTGGTGGGCCTGCACCGCAGCAGTTGACTTCTCCAGTTCACTGGTGGGCCTGCACCGCAGCAGTTGGCTTCGTCAGTTCACTGGTGGGCCTGCACCGCAGCAGTTGGCTTCTCCAGTTCACTGGTGGGCCTGCACCGCAGCAGTTGGCTTCGTCAGTTCACTGGTGGGCCTGCACCGCAGCAGTTGGCTTCTCCAGTTCACTGGTGGGCATGCACCGCAGCAGTTGGCTTCGTCAGTTCACTGGTGGGCCTGCACCAGAGCAGTTGGCTTCTCCAGTTCACTGGTGGGCCTGCACCGCAGCAGTTGGCTTCGCCAGTTCACTGGTGGGCCTGCACCGCAGCAGTTGGCTTCGTCAGTTCACTGGTGGGCCTGCACCGGAGCAGTTGGCTTCTCCAGTTCACTGGTGGGCCTGCACCGCAGCAGTTGGCTTCGCCAGTTCACTGGTGGGCCTGCACCGCAGCAGTTGGCTTCGTCAGTTCACTGGTGGGCCTGCACCGGAGCAGTTGGCTTCTCCAGTTCACTGGTGGGCCTGCACCGCAGCAGTTGGCTTCTCCAGTTCACTGGTGGGCCTGCACCGCAGCAGTTGGCTTCTCCAGTTCACTGGTGGGCCTGCACCGCAGCAGTTGGCTTCGCCAGTTCACTGGTGGGCCTGCACCGCAGCAGTTGACTTCTCCAGTTCACTGGTGGGCATGCACCGGAGCAGTTGGTTGGTTGTCCTGAGCATACCACCAGGGGGTTAAAGTGTTTTCAGGCTGGAAGCATTTGACACCATGGCTCCCTGGGGTCTGTGGAGGTTCTGAGGCAAGGACTTTCCTTGCAGGTCTGTTTACCCAGCAGAGAGGGCAGTAGGGTCTGAATGGTGTGGTGCACGTGGTGCCACGTGGTTTTGAGACGTGCTGGGAACTGGTTTTGTTGGATGACTCGCTCTAGACCACAGTGGCAGTGTTGAAGCTTTCCAGCCACGGCTCTGTGGATGTGTGCAGTGTTGGGAATCAGGCTGGGCTGCCCTTGTTCCTTCTTTACATTCCTCAGACGTTGTGCTTTACAGCCACAGTTTCAGTAACCGCTGCCAGAGCCCCACCTGTGCGTGTTCTCCAGGATGGCTGCGTCTGGGCTCTGGGCGACTGAACCAGGTGCAGAGCGTCAGCCACAGCTGACGACTGCACTGCACTGGACTCCAGCCTGGGGCTCCCACCCCTGTGGCTGCACAGGAGACAAAACAACAACACTTGTTCCTTTGAAGCTGTTTGTTTTTTGTTTTGAGATGAAGTTTCACTGTTGTCACCCAGGCTGGAGTGCAGCGGTGCAATCTCAGTTCACTGCAACCTCCACCTCCTGGGTTCAAGCGATTCTCCTGCCTCGGCCTCCTGAGTAGCTGGGATTACAGGTGCCCACCACCATGCCCAGCTAATTATTGTATTTTTAGTAGAGACAGGGTTTCACCATGTTGGCCAGGCTGGTCTCGAACTCCTGACCTCAGGTGATCCACCTGCCTCGGCCTCCTGAAGTGTTGGGATTACAGGCGTGAGCCACCGCGCCCAACTAATTTTTGTATTTTTAGTAGAGGCAGGGTTTTACCATGTTGGCCAGGCTCATCTCGAACTCCTGACCTCAGGTGACCCACCTGCCTTGGCTTCCCAAAGTGCTGGGATTACAGGCGTGAGCCATCACTCCCAGCCACACCCGGCTAATTTTTGTATTTTTAGTAGAGACGATTTCACCACGTTGGCCAGGCTGGTCTGGAACTTCTGACCTCAGGTGATCCTGCCTCAGCCTCGCTAAGTGCTGGGATTACAGGCGTGAGCCACCACACCCAGCCACTCTGGCTCTTTTGGGACATAATTTTTGACCTTAAAGTTGCAAGAACAGTGCACAGAATTCTCACACCAGCTTCACCCCAGATTCCGCAAATGTTAATGCTTTGCTGAGTTTGCTTATCTTTCCCCATGCACACGCACATTTTTCTGGAGTTGGAGAGTTAGTTGCAGGTGTGATGTCACTTCACCCCTAAATACTTGAGTTTCCTGAAAACAAAGACGTGCTCTTACATAGCACTAATAGTCCTAATAAAGTCCTTTGTAACAAAAGCAAGCCCTGGACCCCACGTGGCATCGCTGGTTGAACCCTCAAGAGTCAGCTCCTTCGTCTTTCTTTCTTTCTGTATCATTGCCTGGTTTAGTAGGACATCCCTCAGTTAGATCGCAGCTGTGCACTCTGGTGAGACTGTCCCAGAGCCTGCGTTTAGTGAAGGTGGTGTCTGTTGTAAAAAGTTACAACTTTTCCTGTTGTAATTCAGTATCTTGAAAGAGATACTTTGTTACCACATAAATACATTTGCACCAAGCTGACCCACATTTTGGGTATCTGTCAGTGATTCCTGCTTGAATCGCTTCATTTCTAGGATGATAGTCCAGTGGTGGTGTTCTCAATTCCAGCATTTCTTCTCCACTTTTTGGTTGACTTTCTGCCGTAAGAACAAATAAGGCCAGGCGTAGTGGCTCACGCCTGTAATCCCAGCACTTTGGGAGGCCAAGGTGAACAGATCACCTGAGGTCAGGAATTCGAGACCAGCCTGGCCAATATGGTGAAACCCCATCTCTACTAAAAATACAAAAATAGGCGTGATGGTGCGCACCTGCAGTCCCAGCTACTCGGGAGGCTGAGGCAAGAGAATCACTTGAACCCCAGAGGCAGAGATTGCAGTGAGCTAAGATCACACCACTGCACTGCAAACTAGGTGACGGAGCGAGACTCCGTCACAAATAAGTAACATGTCTATTTAGCAGTGTAGGCTCATGGTTTCTTATTTAATGGCTTATAATCTGTTATTGTTATTATTTGCCTTGACACAAAACTTATCCCAGCTGTGGCCGGCGGGATCCCCGTGGTGCTGGTTCCCGGCGGCTGAGTCTTGAGGCATTGCCGCCTTGTCTGCATAACGGATTCTAGGCTGCTGCTCTCCTGGCCACAGTCCTGGAATCAGCCATTCTCCAACAAATCCTGCTGCTTCTTGGTGGAGAATGACATTTAGAAACCCAAGGTCTAGGTGCAAAAAATACACTCTTCCCTCTAAATACATTTCTACACTCAGAATGTTGGAACTTAGGGAAGACCCTGGAGCCCTCCTGATCTGTAGAAGGAAGGGAGAAGGTTGGACCCACCTGGAGGCGATGCTCAGAGGTGATGGCGTCCATGGTCCAGGCCCAGCCCGTAGCCCTCTCTGATGTACCCATGCCCTCGGACCTCCCCTGAGAGAGCTGAGAGGCCAGAACCCCACAGAGTTTGGTACTTACTATACTTGTGTATTTTGAGGCAAATAACTTGTTTAGAAGTTGCATGTCATGGCTTTCTCATGGATTTTCTTTAGGACAAACCAGAAAACATTTATTGGTGACTGATTGGACGTTTTTGGGCTGAGCTCTTTGGTTGGGTGTTTTTACGTTTGTGTATCCGCATTCAAGAATCCACAACGTGTCACACCCCTTTTTAAGGTGTGGAGACGTTTCTCTGCCTGGAGCGTGGAGGCTGGAATGAGAGCGTTCAGGGCTTTTCACCCCTGTTTTCTGTCAGCATCTGCAAAGACGAAGTGTAGAAATGTCTCGTATTAAGAAAAGACATTGCTCTCTGCTCCCTGTCTGCACGCGGGTTTCCCAGCCTTTGCACACACAGACATTCTGAGCCAGATGGCCTGGCTGGGAGCATCCTGCATGCTGTGGGTTGCTGAGCAGCTTCCCTGCCTCCAGGTGTGATATCCAGGAGTGTCTCCAGCCACTACAGGAGTCCTGGGGTGGGGGGTGGAGCAGAGCCTGCACTAGAATAAGACAGTCAGAACCTTTCAACCGCAGTACAGAAAATTACGTGACTCCGACGTGGCCAGTATGCGAGTGATTTTCTACGAAGGCCTGTGTTTGGTCACGTTGCTGGAAGCCTGCGGAGTGCTGCCTGCGTGCACTGGGCGCAGGTGCCCTTGGCGTCAGGAGCCGGCCTTGTCTCTGCCACCGGGACCTTGCGTGGTTGCCATTTCCAGCCCTCACCTGCTTCCTACTCGTCTGTCAAGACCCAGCTGTTACAGCTGCTGTGACACTGTTCTAGAAGCTTCCTTCCTCGTGTAGAACTAGGCATCTGCTGTAGTCATCTGCCGGTGGCACCTCCGTCTTGCAGTCGCTCTCGTCTGACTCGTATTACACTGTTGGTGACAGCAGGCAGTGCGCACCCGACTCAGCTTATAGTCAACTTTCTTCAGACCTCAGGCTGCGCTGGTGGCCCAAGGGAGGCTGTTTGTGGGAAGCAGGGCCAGCTTACACTCGCTCTTAGACCTGTGCTGGGGAAGGCAGGTGGCACCTGGGCTTGCTACCAGCCCTTCCTTGGAGCAGGAGGCCCCCGTCCTTTGTGGCAGCCTAGTGTCAATGTGCGACGGGTCACACAGCTTCCCAGGCAGGACTCGGGCTGGGGAACAGTGGACAGCTCCCAGGGTGGACTCGGGGTGGGGAGGAGTGGACGGCTCCCAGGGTGGACTCGGGGTGGGGGAGGAGTGGACGGCTCCCAGGGTGGACTCGGGGTGGGGGAGGAGTGGACGGCTCCCAGGGTGGACTCGGGGTGGGGAGGAGTGGACGGCTCCCAGGGTGGACTCGGGGTGGGGAGGAGTGGACGGCTCCCAGGGTGGACTCGGGGTGGGGGAGGAGTGGACGGCTCCCAGGGTGGACTCGGGGTGGGGGAGGAGTGGACGGCTCCCAGGGTGGACTCGGGGTGGGGAGGAGTGGACGGCTCCCAGGGTGGACTCGGGGTGGGAGAAGAGTGGACGGCTCCCAGGGTGGACTCGGGGTGGGGAGGAGTGGACGGCTCCCAGGGTGGACTCGGGGTGGGGGAGGAGTGGACGGCTCCCAGGGTGGACTTGGGGTGGGGGAGGAGTGGACGGCTCCCAGGGTGGACTCGGGGTGGGGGAGGAGTGGACGGCTCCCAGGGTGGACTCGGGGTGGGGGAGGAGTGGACGGCTCCCAGGGTGGACTCGGGGTGGGGAGGAGTGGACGGCTCCCAGGGTGGACTCGGGGTGGGGAGGAGTGGACGGCTCCCAGGGTGGACTCGGGGTGGGAGAAGAGTGGACGGCTCCCAGGGTGGACTCGGGGTGGGGAGGAGTGGACGGCTCCCAGGGTGGACTCCGGGTGGGGAACAGTGGAGAAAACCTTTGCAGAACACACTCTGCAGGCGTTTGTCAGCCGTTGATCCATTTGTGTGAAGCCCCACTGGCTGGAAGGTGCCCCCCGCCCGCCATGGAGTTTTCTGGGCACCTTGGTGGGTCGTCTGTCGGTCATACCTTTGAGTCTTTCTGGACTCCTCTGTTCCATGCGTTTATGTTGTATGCCTGATAAGTTCTGAAGTCAGGTAGTAAAAGTTCTCTGTTATTTTTGAAAATTGAGATTCTAGGTTTTCTGAACTTCCATATAAATTTCAGAAGCAACTTGTCAATTTCTACAAAAAAACACCTGTTTATTGGTTAAACTAGAGCCACCCCAGATCCTTCTTCATGTTAACATGTTTAGGAGAGATTGGCAAAATCCTCCTAGTTCATATTTGAGGATTCCTTTCCCTCTCTTCCCCTTGCAGGGGGTAGAGCAAGGAGGAGCCCGCGGTGAGCTGGTGTCTTGCATGGGGCAGGGGGTAGAGCGAGGAGCCCGCCGTGAGCTGGTGTCCTGCGTGGGGCAGAGGGTAGAGCAAGGAACCCGCCGTGAGCTGGTGTCCTGTGTGGGGCAGGGGGTAGAATGAGGAGCCTGCCATGAGCTGGTGTCCTGTGTGGGGCAGGAGCTGTGCAGAGTTTCCTTGCAGAAGGCTGATTGCAAAATGATGTCAGCTGGAGACCAGGGAAGCCTGTTAGAGGGGCTGGGGCTCCCAAGTGGGGTTGCTGCCAGGACTGGGGGAGCAGTGCCCAGGGAAAGGACGTGGGGCCATTGGGAGGACTGGGTTTGGGTGTTGGCGGTGGGGCCGCAGAGCCCTGTGGATGGACGAAAACAGCTCAGCCGGGGAGTTGGGGGCTGCCAGGCATCGGAGAGGAGCCTGGATGTGGAGGCCCCGAGTGCGATGGCGGTAGGGACACAGACTCCTGGGCGGGGATGGCCCCTGTGGCCTCAGCAAGCAGGGAGCAGGTGTCCCTGAGGCCTGTGAAGCCTGGCAGTGTCTTTGAGCAGGTGTGGTGACCGGGAGGGAGGATGGTCCAGTGTGGGGTTTGTGCGTTTTTTTTGTTTTTGTTTTTGTTTTTTTTCAGAGATTGGGTTTTTAGGTTAAGTCTCTGCTCATTGGGGCATTTTAGGGCAGAACTCTAATCATTCATTGTAAAGTATTTTGATAAAATTAAGGAAATCATACTTGTCACCTTAGAAAGTTTAACACACTTTTTCAAACAAGGTGTCACTATTTTGTTGTCTGGTTTAAGAAAAAAACCTGATACAGGTTGAGTCTCCCATATCCAAACTGCTTGGAAACAGAAGTGTTTTGGATTTCTGGGTTTTTTTGGATTTTGGAATATTTGCACGTATACATGACGAGATGTCTTGGGGATGGGACGTGAGTAAACGCGGAATCCATTTGTGTTGCACATGCACTGTGTACGCACAGGCCCAGGACCCGGAGGAGCTCAGATTCTTGATAGTCACCGGCAGCCCACTCCATCCCCGAGGGCTCGGAGCCCCGCACCGTGTGTCCTCAGCACCGTTCCTCCTCCAGGGTGATCCGCACACGCCCATCCTCCTCCCCAGGAAGAACTCCCCTCCACTCCCCTCCAGGCTACAGACCCGCCCCTCCCATTCTCCCTGCAGGATGCTGGCTACAGACCCGCCCCTCCGAGTCTCCCTGAAGGATGCAGGCTACAGACCCGCCCCTCCGCTCCCCTGCAGGATGCAGGCTGCAGACCCGCCCCTCCCAGTCTCCCAGCACAGCCTGCCATGGCACAGTGGGCATGGAGGATGTGGCTCCGCCTTGTTTCCGCCTGTGGCCTGATCCTTGCGCCCTCTCGATGACATGGCTGGGGGTCTTGGTGGGCCATGGGGCATCCCGCCTGGAAAGGTCCCATTGACAGATGCAGCTTGGGTGGCTGTCTCATGTCCGCGGGTCAGGGTGGTCGGAGCAGCCCGGCTGGGACGGGAGTGTGGGGGCTGTGAGCACCTAGGGGCGGGTGCTGAGTGCTGGGCGGCCTCATGTCTGCAGGGCAGGGTGGTCGGAGCAGCCCGGCTGGGATGGGAGTGTGGGGGCTACAGGCACCTAGGGGTGGGCGCTGAGTGCTGGGCGGTCTCATGTCCACGGGGTGGGGTGGTCGGAGCAGCCCAGCTGGGACGGGAGTGTGGGGGTTGCGAGCTCCTAGGGACACTGAGTGCCGGGCAGCCTCGTGTCCGCGGGGCGCGGTGGTCGGAGCAGCCCGGCTGGGATGGGAGTGTGGGGGCTACAGGCACCTAGGGGTGGGCGCTGAGTGCTGGGCGGTCTCATGTCCACGGGGTGGGGTGGTCGGAGCAGCCCGGCTGGGGTGGGAGTGTGGGGGCTGCGGACACCTAGGGTCAGGCGCTGAGTGCTGGGTGGTCTCATGTTCGCAGGGTGGGGCGGTCGGAGCAGCCCGGCTGGGGTGGGAGTGTGGGGGCTGAGGGCACCTAGGGGCGGGCGCTGAGTGCCAGGCGGCCTCTGGTCTCATAGCCTTCAGATTTCAGCACTTCTTCCATGGCTTCTGCCAGAAGACCACTGTTTGGACAAATAAAACAGTTTGTGTTTATATAAAACGAACATTACAGTCATTTTGTCAGGAAAATGTAGTTGCATCAGCCTCTGTCTAGACTGGGAATGATATGAAAGTTTTAGATTTTATAAATTCTCTAACGGAAATGTCAGAGGATCACATATAAATAGTGTGTTTTGAGACAACTTTATGTTATCCCCAAGTCTCCTCTTTGGACCAGACATCCTTAGTTTTTTCAGCTGTTCCACGGGTGGCACGGGGGTGGTGAGGTGTGGTGGCGTGTCATTTTTCATGAGAGACACCTGTAGGTGGAAAGTCCTTTCATTTTATAGACAAAGAAATGCCCTCAAGGGGTGATGTCACCTGCCTACAAAGTTATGCAAGGGTTAGTGTAGAATTGGTACAAAAACCTAGATTTTAAAATTCTTACTTGGGGGCTCTTTTGATAAACCAAGAGATTTTAAAGTGTTGTTCCCCTTGTGTTTTTTTGTAGAGCGGTTCTGGTGAGGTTGGAAGGATGCAGCCACCCGGTTGTCATGAAAGGCCTGTGTGCTGAATGTGGCCAAGACCTCACCCAGTAAGTATCCGGAAGAGTGAGATCGCTGCCTGCTGGGGCTCGAGGTGGTGGCCTCCGGGGAGTCCGAGAAGCTGTGCTGGGAACACAGTGAGGCCCTTGGTTTCCCAGCGGCAGATGCAGACGCCTCCCTTGGGCCCCATACGAGTCACACTCAATGGGTTTCCCTGGAGGCAGTCCTTCCTGCTCTGTGACCCCAGCCTCATGCCATTCTCAGGTGTGGTGGGGGGGCATGCTGGAGGGCCGAGACCTGTTTTCTCCTGACTGAAGACGCAGATCGCTGAGTGCCTGGAGCAGCCCCTCCCTCTGGGCCGCTGAGCGCCCCATGCTGGGGGCTGCTTTACCTCTAATGCCAAGTGGGAGGTGCGGCAGCTACTTTTTCTGCGTTTTCATGGTTGAGGGCCTGTTTCTGCTTCTGTGTGACTTTGCAGTTTGTTTTCATGAAGGACTATGGCTCTGTGTGTTCATGAGTGTGGCCACGAGCTCAGTGTTTCCACCAGTTTTCCTGTCTGTGGAGAATGTTTCCACGTTTGCCGACAGAATCAAGTCTGTGCTAAGATAGCAGCGTGTGTCCGTTAAAACATCAGCTAGAATCCTGTCACTTAGAGCCCAGTGTGCATCTGTGCGCAGAGACTCAGCTGAAAGCCCTGAACCTGTCCTTGCACTTGCAGGTTGCAGAGTAAGAACGGGAAGCAGCAGGTGCCGCTGTCCACGGCGACCGTGTCCATGGTGCACAGCGTGCCGGAGTTGATGGTGAGCTCCGAGGTGAGCCGGGCATCAGTGGCGGCGTGTTGGGGAAGCGTGGTGCTCTGAGGAGGGCGGCTGCAGGAGGAGGGTGGCTGCAGAAGCACGGACGTGTGGTTGTCATCGTCGTTACTGAAACAACCCCTCATCACACGGATGACTTATGGGACTGCGGCCTTCCTGAAGCAGGGACGGTTGCCCTTGGTTCTCCACAGACAAGTCTGCCTGCAAAAGCGACTCAGGGCCCCGAGGCTGTGTGACCTGCGTGTCGGGAACACCAGGTGCTGCCGCCGCAGCTGTGAACAGCCAGGCTCAGCCTGGGTTCCCTTGAGCCAAGTCCTAACTGGGGAGGGATGTGACAGCTGCTCATGGAGCTCAGGAGGTGGCCGCGCTGCCGAGGCATGTGCTGGATGACCCGGGAGGGCAAAGCGCATATTGGGGCAGATAATGGCGAGGAGTCGGTGGCCGGGGGTAGGGGCGGGGGGACGTGGTTGGTAGCACCTTGTTGGCTACAGGAGCGGCTGCTGCTGGCACCATTGGGAAGCTGGCTCGGGAGAGTGGGCACATGCAGGGGCGGGTTGGGGGTCCCAGGAGTGTTTGCCTTGTAGCCGACAGGAGAGCCCATGGGGGGTACGCAGGGTGGAGAGGACGGGCAGGTGTTCACGTGCCCAGTTAAGAGTGAGATGGGTTTTTATCTTCGAGTGCTACGCCTCGTTTATGTATTTCAGGAGTTGCTGGGGCACTGTGGGTCAGCGGCTCCGGGCACCTCCTGTGCTTGAGGCAGACACCGTCTCCCCGACCTCGCTTCACCCCGTGGGTGAAAATGCTCTGGGAGCTGAGAAAAACTAGTTTGTGATCTTACAGACTTTCAGGGCTGCACAGTTTTGTAAATAGGTAAAACACTTTCCAGTGTTACGATTTTAGTAAATTCGTGCTTTTAAATGATGGACACCAATTTCAGTCTATCTTTTTATGGGAAAAGCAAAATGCCAGATACAGGATTCTGGGTTTTCTGAATTACCAAACTTTAAACAAATGTAAAATGTGTATGCGTAAACCAAAGCTGGCAAGTTTGAGGGTGAAGGGAGGAGGAAGTACCCCCCATCTTTCTGGCACCTGCCAGCCCTTCCGTGCGTTTCCCTTCGGGGATGGGCACGGGAGGAGGTCCCCCCTGAGCGGGACCAGGATTTTGTTGTGAAGAGTGAGGGCCAGTTACAGTGAGAAAGGCAGCGTGGTGCGTCACATCCCGTGTCCCATGCCGGGCTCCTGATGCCGGGGTGACCGGGCCCTTGTTAGGAGCTCCACTCTGGGCCCCGCGTGGAGGGACACCCCGATGCGCTGTTGCCAGGCCCCCGGGTCTCTTCGAGGCACAAGAATAGGCTGAGCGTGGAAGGTTCTGAGCGCGGGAGATTCTGAGCGCATTGCCCTTACCAGTCTCTGCTGCCCAGCTTGGGCCACCCAGCGTCTCCCAGCCGGCCGACTTGGTTTCTTCATTAATTTTGCAGTTCACTTTTATTGAGCACTCCATACTGTTGAATCCAGCTTTTATAGAAACAACCAGTTTCCCTTCCCCCTCCGTTTTCATTGGCTCATGTATTTAACTGAATTATAAAATTGTGGTCACAAGCGAGGTTGCCGTGACCAGGTTGGTGACCCAGCCCTGCCTCTCGGCCTGTACGGCGCAGTCCATGGAGCGTGGGGGGCTGGAGGGGAACACATTGATATAGTTTTGTGTTTCTCGATGAAATGGAGTTTTACCTTGGATGCAAACATACTGACTTTGTCATTTCTTGTTTCTTTTTAATTGTAGCAAGCTGAACAGCTGGGAAGAGAAGACCAGCAGCGACTGCACCGAAACCGGAAGCTGGTGCTCATGGTGGACTTGGACCAGACGTTGATTCACACAACCGAGCAGCACTGTCAGCAGATGTCGAATAAAGTGAGTGCAGTCAGCATCTACGGACAGTTTCCCAGGAACCGCGGGTCCTAGAATTTTGATTCAGAAGTGTGTTCTCTTGTTTTTTAGATGATTTCCCGTAGGTCAGCCTGGGTTTGGAAAGCAGACTTGCTAGTTCTGGGCGTGGGCCGTGTGTCTGCTGGGCTGTTGGGGAGCATCCGCGGCTCCCGGGCAGACATCCCGACGCCCACTGTGTCTCACGCTTCCTTCCGTGTGTGTGGGAACCCTTTGTGTGCCTGCCCGGCACGATGTCGGAGAAGGCAGAAACGTCCCGAGCCTGTGAGGATGGTGTGGTGGATGGTGCGAGGCGTGTCCTGAGAGGGGCAGTCTTGGTGGGGAGGACGTTGGTGTTGGATGCCTTTATGTTGCTAGGATGTCAAGGGCAGGTGGACGCCTGGGTTTGTGCTTGGGAGAACTGGGCTGGAGGAAAAGCCTGGGTGGGAGGTGACCAGCGTACATTCTCCAGGGGAAACACGGGGAAATGCAGGGTGAGGGCAGAACCCTGTTTAATGCACACGAAACCCTTCCTGTGCCTCAGCTGTGTCCTCAGGATGGAACCAGAGAAGCTGAATTTCTAGACCGAAGGCTTTGAATGTCTGTGCCCAGAGGCTTGCGCAGAGGCTTGTGTCGGCCTAGACGGTGGCCATCAGGGAGGCCCTCACCAACACTGAGTTGTTTTTTAAGTGTTTGCTATTGAACAGTATGTGGACTCTGGCGTTAGATTTGGGATTTCAGAGGCCCATCAGTTCTGACCTTACCAGTTCTAAAGGTTCCTGGGGATCCTGCAGGTCCCAATAGCAGACACCCAGCAGGCTGGAGGATGCACCACGGAGCCGGGCATCCTCCGCTGCTGAATGCCGGGGCGTGGTACCAACAGCTGGGACAGATTGATGACAGTTACACATAAGTCAAATTTGTGACAAGCTTCATCTGGAAGAAGTTTGGTTAAGTTTGGCCTTGTAAGTCAGTCAGGTGGTCAGGGTGAGCTGCACAGACCCCCCAGGTGGCACAAACTCTCGCGTTTTATGCTGTTTGCAGAATGGAGAGAATCGAGTAACTGCCGTGCTGCACAGGAGTTTGTTTAGGGCCGGAATTCAGGTCTAACCCACAAAACAGCTTCTATTTCTGGCTGTGTTAGTCATTTGTGTGTCTCGTGGCATCTTACACAGCAGTCTATTCTTCTGTGCAGTATAAACTGTGACTAGATATTTTCAGATTGCTTCGTTCATACCCGCTACTCTACTCACTAAGGTTTTTTGTTTGTTTGTTTTTGAGACAGAGCCTCACTCTGTCACCCAGGCTGGAGTGCAGTGGCAGGATCTTGGCTCACTGCAAGCTCTACCTCCCGAGTTCACGCCATTCTCCTCCCTCAGACTCCCAAGTAGCTGGGACTACAGGTGCCCGCCACCACACCTGGCTAATTTTTTGTATTTTTTTTAGTAGAGACGGGGTTTCACCGTGTTAGCCAGGATGGTCTCAATCTCCTGACTTTGTGATCCGCCTGCCTCGGCCTCCCAAAGTGCTGGGATTACAGGCATGAGCCACCGCGCCCGCCCAAGGTTTTTTTTTTAATGCCTATTTTCTGACAAACTAGGTATTTTGAAGGATGTAAGGACTTTATGAAAATACATTCTGCACACATATACCTTCATGAGTTGCTGTGGCTGTTTCCTGCTTTTATTGTGCCTTTGAAGTTGGGCATTGAGTGAGTTTTACAGGCACACCTCATTTTATGGTGCTTCACTGATACTGTGTTCACAGGGAGGAGGCTCGGAGCAACCTGGCGAGCACGTCTGCAGGTGCCATTTTCCAGCAGCATGTGCCCCCAGGTGTTGTGCCACGCTCTGGAAATTTCCCGTGTACTTCAGCCTCCTCGTTAGTGCTCTGCTGTTACAGGGAGCTGTAGTCAGTGATCTTTGAGGTCACTGTTGTCATAGTTGCTTCATCAGTGTTCTGTCAGCTATAGGGATTTGTGGTCAGTGATCTTTGAGGTCACTGTTGTCATTGTTTTGGGGTGCCACGAACCACACCCACATAAGACGGCAAACGTAATGGGTAGATGTGTGTGTCCTGACTGCTCCACCAACTGGCCATTCCCTGTCTCTGTCCCGGTGCTCAGGCCTCCCTATTCCCTGAGACATAACAGTATTGAAATTAGGCCAGCGTAGTAACCCTACAGTGACCTCTGAGTGTTCAAGTGGGAGGAAGGCTCACCAGTCTCTCACTTTAAATCAAAAGGTAGACGTGATTATGCTTAGTGAGGAATGCACGCCAGAAGCCAGGAAAGGCTGCAAGCTGGTCCTCTTGCACTAAACAGCCAAGGTGTGAATGCAAAGGAAAAGTTCTTGAAGCAAACTAAAAATACTACTTCAGTGAACACACAGATGATGAGACAGTGAAACAGCCTTATTGCTGAGAAAGAGAAAGTTTTAGTGGTCTGAGTAGAAGATCAAACCAGTCACAACATTCCCTTAAGCCAAAGCCTAATCCAGAGCAAGGCCCCAACTGTCTTCAATTCTGTGAAGGTTGAGAGGGGTGAGGAAGCTGCAGAAGAAAAGCTGGAAACCAGCACAGGTTGGTTCATGAGGGTGAAGGAAGAAGCCGTCTCCGTAACACAAAAGTGAAGGTGAAGCAGCAGGTGCTGTTGGAGAAACTGCGGCAAGTTCCCCTGGAGATAGGCTGAGATCACTGATGAAACTAAACACGCTAAACAACAGATTTTCAGTGCAGACAAAACAGCCTTCTGTTGGAAGAAGATGCCGTCTAGGACTTTCATAGCTGGAGAGGAGAAGTCAGTGTCTGGCTTCAAAGGACAGGCTGACTCTCTCGTTGGAGACTAACTAATGCAGCTGGTGACTTTAAGTTGAAGCCAGTGCTCATTTGCCATTCTGAAAATCCCAGGGCCCTTAAGAATGATGCTAAATCTCCTCTGCCTGTGCTCCATCCATGGAACAACAAAGGCTGGATGACAGCACCTCTGTTCACAGCATGGTTTACTGACCATTCTAAGCCCGCTCTTGAGACCTGTTACTCAGAAAGAGAGATTCTTCTAAGAAATATTCCTGCTCATTGACCATGCACCTGGTCACCCAAGAGCTCTGATGGAGACGTACAGGAGAGGAATGTTGTTTTCATGCTGCTGACACCACATCCACCCTGCAGCCCAGGGCTCAAGAAATGATTTCCAGCTTCAAGTCTTATTATTTAAGAACTACATCTCCTGGCCAGGCGCGGTGGCTCACACCTATAATTCCAGCACTTTGGGAGGACAAGGCGGGTGGATCACGAGGTCAGGAGATCAAGACCATCCTGGCTAATGCGGTGAAACCCTGTCTCTACTAAAAATACAAAAAATTAGCCGGGTGTGGTGGCGGGTGCCTGTAGTCCCAGCTACTCGGGAGGCTGAGGCAGGAGAATGGCGTGAACCCGGGAGGCGGAGCTTGCAGTGAGCCACGATCGCACCACTGCACTCCAGCCTGGGTGACAGAGCAAGACTCCATCTCAAAAAAAATAATAAATAAATTAAATAAATAAATAAATAAATAAATAAATAAATAAATAAATAAAAGAGCTACATCTCCTAAGGCTGGAGCTGCCTTAGAGAGCAATTCTGATGAATCTGGGAAAATCAAACAGAAAATCCTTCTGGAAAGGATTCACCATTGTGACATTGCAAGTGCCACCAGGAACATTTGTGATTCATGGGAAGAGGTCAGAGTATCTGCATCAACCAGGAGTTGGGAAGATGTCGATTCCAACCCTCAGTTCGGAAGATGTTGATTCTGACCTTCATGGATGACTTCCAGGGCTTCGAGACCCCAGCGGAGGAAGGAGCTGCAGGTGTGGTGGAAATAGCGAGAGAATTAGGAGTGGAGCCTGAAGATGACTGAACTGCGGCAACTTCAGGATGAAACTCGAACAGATGAGGAGTTGCTTCTTACGGATGAGCAAAGAAAGTAGTTTCTTGAAATGGAATCTGCTCCTGGAGAAGATGCTGCGAATGTTGTTGAAATGACCAAAAAGGATTTGGAAGATTCCATCAACTTAGTTGGTAAACCAGCGGCAGGGTCTACGAGGATTGCTCCTAGTTTTGAAAGCAGTTCTTCTGTGGGTAAAACGCTGTCAAACAGCATTGCATGCTACAGAGAAACCTTTTGTGAAAGGAAGAGTTGATTGATGGGACAAACTTCATTGTCATCTTATTTCAAGAAATCATCACAGCCACCCCCAGCCTTCAGTAAACACCCCTCTGATCAGTCAGCAGCCATCAGCATCAAGGTGAGACCCTGCGCCGACAGAAAGACTATGACTTGCTGAAGGTTCAGATGGTTGTTAGCATTTTTTAATCATAAAATTATTTTTTATTTTTTATTTTTTAATTTTTTGAGACGGAGTCTTGCTGGGTTGCCCAGGCTGGAGTGCAGTGACACGATCTCTCTATCCTGCAACCTCCACCTCCCGGGTTCAAGCCATTCTTGTGCCTCAGCCTCCCGAGTAGCTGGGACTACAGGCGTGTACCACCACACCCAGTTAATTTTTATATTTTTAGTAGAGACGGGGTTGTGCCATATTGGCCAGGCTGGTCTCGAACTCCTGACCTCAAGTGATCCTCCCGCCTCGGCCTCCCAAAGTGTTGGGATTATAGGCATTGAGCCACCACGCCCGGTGATTTTTAATAATAAAGTATTTTTAAATTAAGTTAGGTACATTGTTCTTTTAGATATAATGCTATTGAATGTTTAATAAGCTGCAGTAGAGTGTCAGCATGGATTATATTCACTGGGAAACCAAAAAATTCATGTGATTCTCAGTATCTCCAGGATAGGCCTGCTGAAGACAGTGGAGTCTAGTTATAATGTGGCTGTTTCTCAGTTGTGTGGTCTGGAAGGTGACAGTGTCCTGATGTAGTGGGGAGGGGGGTCTAAGCATGAACGGTCTGTCCTCTGCCTCCTCAGTAGCAGTAGTGTGCCCCACTTGACATCCAGAGGAGACCCTGAGGCTGGTGCCTGGCCCTACTGCTGGCCCCTCTGAAAGCAATTTCAGGGATCAGAAGTGGTGCTGGCCACAGCTCCCGAAGCCTGGACAGCTGCTGGACTTTTTACTGTTGAGTAATGGGAAAGTTGTTACTAGAACTTCTCACTCCTAAATATTTGACAGAGTAGCTTCTTCATGACGGTCGTGACTAACTTAGAGCTAGAAAAATGTAACTGGGAAAGTTGTTACTAGAACTTCTCACTCCTAAACCTTGAACAGAGTAGCTTCTTCATGAGGGTCGTAACTAACTTAGAACTAGAAAAATGTAACTGAGCTTAAGTCATCTACCTTTTTTTAAAGCCATTAAGAGTAAATATTTTACTGAGAAAATAACAGGATTTAAAGGATCGAAGTTTAGCTTCCTAAGGAAAGCAGACTCATTTGCATGTCGATCATATGTAAGCGAGTCGGTGTTGCTCATTTCACTGTCTACTAAATATGACTTAGAATACTTTCAGCTTTTATGTTGTATATGTAGATGAAAGAAACTGTCTGAAAATCACCCATGCGTTATACCAGGTTACCCGGGAATGTTGATTTCCTTTATTCAGTAGCTCAGGAAAACACTGTCAGCACGTGATGTTGGTGGAGGTCTGTTCCGAGCAGCTGCGGTGGCCTTGCTGTGTAACACGTATCAGCGAGGAAACAAAGGCAGAAGTGACATCAGTGGTTAGCTCATAGTTAGTGTAGGTTGTTACTGTTGGCGTGGTTATCAGGGGTGGTTATGTCCTAGGCGGTCGTTGCAGGTAGGTAGTTACCAGGAGTAGTTAGTGTAGCTATCATCGGTGGTTATGTAGTTATCATAGGTGGTGACTGTTGGCGTGGTTATTGGGGATGGTTATCGTGTAGTTATCACAGGCTGTTACTCTTGGCTGGTTATCGGGGGTGGTTATCCTAGGCGGGTCGTTGCAGGCAGGTAGCTATTGTGAGTAGTTAGTGTAGCTGTCATCGGTGGTTATCATGTAGTTACCGTAGGCTGTTACTGTTAACGTGGTACCCAGGGTGGTTATCTTGAACAGTTGTTGCAGGTAGGTGGTTATCCTAGTTACCACGGGCAGTCAGTATTCACACTCACTGAGGGCATTCCCGCAGCAGAGAAGGCCGCACTCACTCACTCGTACCGCGTGCATGGAAACTACTTACACAGTGGGTTTTAAATGCCACGGGTAGCCCCTTGCACCAGTTAGGGTCACGTCCTTATTTGGAGGGTCAGGCGGACATGCGTCCTCTGTCCCACGTGGAGAGGTGTGTGCACACTCCTATCCCCTGTCCCATGTGGAGGGGCGGGTGCAAACGCATCCTCTGTCCCACGTGGAGTGGTGTGTCCACACGCATGTCCTCTGTCCCATGCCCACGTGGAGGGGCGTGTACACACGCATGTCCTCTGTCCCGTGTGGAGGGGCGTGTACACGCACACGTGTCCTCTGTCCCGTGTGGAGGGGCGTGTACATGCTCACATGTGTCCTCTGTCCCGTGTGGAGGGGCGTGTACATGCAAACGTGTATCCTCTGTCCCATGTGGAGGGATGGGCACATGTGTGTCTTCAGGACGCCTGTCTCAGGCACCCGTGTGTCTTCAGGACGCCTGTCGGGCACACGCGTGTCTTCAGAACGCTTGTCTGGGGCACACGTGTGTTCTCAGGATGCCTGTCTCGGGCACACAGGTTGCGGGGGCGGCCGGGGCTCCTCAGGCCTTTTCTCCCGACTGTTGCTACTATTCTTTTTAGGGCATCTTTCACTTCCAGCTGGGCCGGGGTGAGCCCATGCTGCACACGCGCCTGCGTCCACACTGCAAGGACTTCCTGGAGAAGATCGCCAAGCTGTACGAGCTGCACGTCTTCACCTTCGGCAGCCGGCTGTACGCACACACCATCGCAGGTCAGTCAAGCCGCAGCCGAAGAGGCCGTGTGAACAGTGGGTTTCTTTCCTGTTTTCGGTGATGGTTTCTTAAAGATGAAGAAAGAAAAGAAGCTCTCCTGCAACTCAGTTGTAGTCTTAGGGTTGGCCGTTGTGCAGGGGGTTGTGAGAGGTAAGGGAATTCTGCCACCAGGGCTGTTGGGTGGGGCCGCGGCTGCTCTGGCCGGGTGCGGTACTGGGTGGGCCGCTTTGGGAGTTTGTCAGGACCACATGGGCACGTGGAAACTTCTGCGAGCGTCCTCCGACAGATACCTTCTTAAATCAGTTCACAGGGACTTTGGGCCGGGCTGCTTGTGTGTGCTCTTGCTGGGTGCTGTCACTGCACACAGCATGATTGTCCCCTGCCTACACATGGGTACCCTTAGGGTTTAGCGTTTGCTTCTGTCTCCCTGGGTGATAGCGTGAATGCCAGGCTACGGTGCCCTCTGGGAGGCAGCACCAGCAGGACGAATCGAGGGGACAGTGCCACGGGACGGTGACTGTCCCATGTGGATGCAGTGAGGGGACGCCACAGGATGGTGACCGTCTGTCCTTCATGGACAAAGCGAGGGGACAAAGTGGGACAGCGACCGTCTGTTCCACGTGGACGAAGCAACGTCTGTCCCACGTGGACGAAGCAAGGGGACAGTGCGGGACGGCGACCGTCTGTCCCACGTGGACAAAGCGAGGGGGCTGCCACGGGACGGCGACCGTCTGTCCCACATGGATGTAGGCGCCGAGTGGCAGTGTAGGCAAGCTCCTCCGTACTGGCTCCAGAGGTTGTTAGACTGAGCATTTTAAAATTCAAAGGTCTTTCTAGATTGGTCTTAGTCTTTTGTTGTTGTTGGGGAAATGAATTTTGAATCCTCCTTTAATATTTAGTGCCTTTATAGGAAATTGTGATCATGACCTTTAATTCCTCTTGTAATTGAAATTTGAAATATTCACCTGTAACATTATGGCTGCTGCTGCATAGCTGCCTGAGACAGATGATGTGAAGACGAGTAATTATGCACAAGGGTGATATTGCTCACTTCCTCGGGCCAGTGAAGAAATAATGCCTGCTATGATCTGAGGGTTTTACAGCCCCCAAGTCCATGTGTTAAAACCCAGTCCCAGGGCGAGGGTGTTAGGAGGGGCGTGGGAGGTGGTGAGGTCCTGTGGACTCCATCCTCGTGAATGGAATCAGGGCCCTTACCCAGGTGGGCCCTGGGAGCTGCGGGAAATGCAGCAAGCCGGCGCCCACTGACCTGCAGCCAAGTTGCTGGCGCCGTGGTCGGACGCCGGCCTCCAGAACTGTGAGGAAGGGACGTGTGTTCCTGAGTCACCCACACTATGGAGTTTCTTTAGAGCAGCCCAGGCCGACTAAGCTGCCCACTGTGTGGAAATAGACCCCCAAATCCCCATGTGTTCCAGCCCCAGATTGTGCCGTTGCAGCCAGTGCCAGGCACCTCCCAGAGGACAACCCATAAGTCACACAAACCGCAGGGACAGTGACGCCCACTCAAACCAGACAACTGAGCGGGGCATCACTCTCACAATAACAAATGTCAGGGAAAGACTAAAAACCAGAAAATTATTCCTCACGCTCATCATATCCATGGCTGTCCCCTATTCTCTGGTTTTTTTTTTGTATGTATAATTTTGCCTAGTTTGTCTTAATATATGTACAAGTTTACATACCGTTCTTTTCACATAAGATTTCATCACTAAGAATTTATCCATCACGTTGTTATAAATCTTCATCATTTTATGTAAGATTTTTTTCCCTCCTCTGTGGACTGGATCCTCTGGGTGAGTTCCTAAAACCAGGATTGTTCGGTGAGGGAGTGGTTCCTGACCCCCAGGACTGTGAGGACTGCACGCCGCATGGCCTGCTCCCTGGGAGGGTGACGGGTTTGCCTCCCGCCTCCCACACAAGGCGCACACCAGCGGGCACAGCCCGGTGACCTGCACGTCTGAGTCCAGGATGCCAGTGATGTTTCTTCTCCTCCTGTCCCGTCTTCCATACGTTGATCTGGTGCCCGTGCAAGTGTTTCTCATTTCGGATTTCCTTCTCCAGGTCTCTCTCTGAAGCTGGGCTTCTTTAGGTTCGCTGTTTCACACGTCTTGCTTATCCTTTCCTGAGGTGCATCGATGTTTGCTGGTCAGAGCACACAAGCCCCAGTGAGGAGGAGCATGTGGAAGGCTCGGATCTGTTTAAATGCTTGGCTGGAGGGGTTTGGGCTAAAAGCAGAGGGTCCCAGGTTTTAGCCGGGCTACACCCTTGCCACCCGTCACACCAGCAGGCAGGGTATGGGTCACCACAGTCTGATTCCACGTTCATGAGGCCTCGTGTGGTGAGAGATGAAGCAGGTGACGAGAACGCCATGTTTCTTTATCAGCCTGAAAGCTGGAGGGAGCCTGGGAGCTGCTCGCAGATTCAGCAGAGCATCCATGCAGACATCCGCAGGCCTCTGAGCCGCTTAGACAGCAGAGCAGGGAGCCTGCTGGTGGGCGCTTGGCTGCGGAGAGCCTCGAGCGCGGGTCCTCCTGCAGTGAGACCAGCTAGGTTTGTTGAGCGTCACCGGGCCGTCTGGTGCCTTCTCCGTTTCAAGCTCTGCTTTCTATGCTAAAGTTCCAGCATTCCAACGTGTCCAAGGGATGTCGGCCAAAACCAGACGAAGACATCACAAGAAAACTGCAGACCAGTATCCCTTTGAACATGGATGCAGAAATTCTCAACAGAACATGGGCCCTCGAGCCCAGCAACGCAGGAGGAAGACTGTGTCCAGGCTGTGGTTCAGGAAGGCCGAGCTTTGCTTCATTGTGGCTGGCGGGATCTGTAGAGATGACCTGGGTCAGCTTTTCTACAAGTGAGAAAGTGAGGTCCGGACTGAAGCCTGAGGTGGTCGCCGAGCATCTGCTTTTGATGCTTTTCATTTTGAAAGTGACCGTGTTGATAGCATGCGTGCTTTCAGTATGACTAGGACAGAGATGTTAAGAGTTTGCGATGCGTGTCTTTTATCTGATAGTAGAGACGCTAATAATTCTATTAACAGACTTTAGATCTAGCGACTTCATGGCCTCAGTGATCATCTGGAATTTACGCATAGTGAGAAACAATCGCATTTATTTCTCCTTTAAGCCCAAGTATCTTTTGGTTAATGAAATACTAACAAACCAGTGGTATCAGGGAACGGAAAGCTCCTGGCAGTACTGCATTTGAAACGTCTGGAGGTGGTGATGCTTCAGCCAGGAAGCAGGTTCATCTTCCCAGAAGATCTTACGGATCCCACAGTGCATTGTGCATAGTGCCGTGGGGCTGCAGGGTAACTGAGGTGGTGCACAGAGCAGCTCTTCTGTTTTAATTGTAATGTGTATGTTTTAACCTGTATCAAAAACAGCAAATGTGTTTCTCGCATTTGTGATCTCAGAGGTGGTGGTGCAGAGGTTGAGCCCAGTAGGGATGGGTGCAGGGAGTAGTTGATTAAAAGCCAGCGTGAAAACAATAGTGATTATGTGGAGTGCAGTCAGGGCACGTTCAGATCCGGAAGTGGACCCCGTGTGCCACGTGGGGACGTGGAGCCAGGCGTTCCGGGGTGCATTCGGATCCGGAAGTGGACCCCGTGTGCCATGCAGAGGCGTGGAGCCAGGCGTTCCAGTGAGACTTAAGTCTTGAGAGAATGTGGGCTGCGTGGTTGGACTTTGGGTTCACAGTGCTTTTGAGATGTCTCATCTACCTCCTTTGCTTCATGCATAACTAACGGTTATGCAGGGGACCTGCGTGCCATGACAAGACCACAGTCCCAGCTCCCGACTCTGGACCGGCTCACTCTTGTGCAATCCAGTCCCCGTTTTGTTCCACGGCACCTGCACGTGTCAGGCCAGATAGAGGTTGTGTGTTAATGTGTTCAATTTTCTTACAATTTCAGCCTCTTGGGAGAGTAATAATTATGTTGTATTCATTCCCGCACCTTATATTCCTAGCAAAATTCCAAGTAATGTTAAACTCAGTAAATGTTAAATGATCGAATACCCTTAAACACGTTATGTGGGTGCCATGGAATACCTATCTCTTGAGGTATGTGCAGATTTATGGCTTCAGCCACTTGTATGATGAGTAGCTGAAACATTTCTTTTTGAGGCTTCATAATTAACCGTAGCTTTTTCTCTCCAGAATGTTTTAAATGGCTGGTGAAATTAAATTGACATTGAACTTGATGCCTCCAACATATTTTACCAATGGAATAAATTACCTGAAAGGTTGTTTTGTTTTTGTTTAGTACCCCTACTTCTACAAACTGAAATATGTTTCCTATATACTCTGTGGTTCTTGTAAACTAACAAGAGATAACTTATTTTTAAATTATCTTTATTTAAAAATATGAGCACTTTACTGTAAATTGAAGACTTTGCAAACTTAGGAAGATAACACAGTAGGCTTAAAGTTCAGAAGATAAATTTATAGATCAAGAAACCCAGAGCAGAGGTGATCCCAAGAAACCTCTGCCTGATTTGTTGATTTTCACAGTGGTGCTTCCTGAAGTGTAGAAGGGATGTTTGCAGATAGCTTGGTTTTACTATCTTTAAGGAGTCGAAGCTGAGCATCAAGCATGTGAAGCTCTTTAGAAAATTACTGTTAAAAAGTTAAACTAGACTTGTAATTAACGGATGTCATGTGAAGTGCAAGTGTCAAATGTAGCCTAAGCGGATTCTTCGCTGTGGAAGCACCTTCTGCACTAGCTGGTCAAGGTGGTGTCCCGGATGTCCTTCCTTCCCAGTCTCCTCTGTCAGGCAGGCTTCCTCGATGTTGCCTAAATTACCATTATTAAAACGTGTATAATAGTTAGAAATAACCGGCCTTTCTGTGTATTTCTACAACACAGAGTGTGAGTTTGTATAATTCTACTAAAGTAACTTGGGAGAAGCAAACTTCCTTGATAACCTTTCCTCCACTAACCATTACAGATGAGAGCAGTGGGCCACCCGCCTGGGGTTAGGAAAGATCATATCCGAGGTGACGCAGAGTAATTTCAGCTTAGTGTCCAGACTCCATCACGTGAAGAACCACATGCAGAGTGTTTTGAGATCAAATGATGACTTACCTGTTTTACTTATGCAAGTGCCTTCCATAATTTTCATATCCATCTGGTTTAGATAGGCACTTCAGTAAGATATTACAAATTTTTCATGTTAGTAGAATTATAAACACTTATCAACATGGTTTGTGTTTGAGAAATAAGTTCACCATAAGAGAAAAGAAGCCCCACACGAGCCACGTCTTACCTCAAAAGGGATGAAGTGTTTGGTGCCAGTTCATCATGTTGTGTGTCTGCCACTTTAAAAAAAACATTCAAGGCTTCACCATGTGCCGTGTGACCGAAACGTGTCTCAGGTATGTAATCTTTGTCCTGTTTTCTTTTCCAAGGCTTTTTAGACCCCGAGAAGAAGCTTTTTTCTCACCGAATATTATCAAGGGATGAATGTATTGACCCATTTTCTAAAACGGGAAACCTTAGGTATGTACCCAGCCGCGCTCCTCACAAAGACCTCGCTGTTCATTTCCCATTTCAAAAATCGCATCTTGAAATTTAGAGCAGTATTTCTTTTTTTCTTTTTTTTTGAGACGGAGTCTTGCTGTTGCCCAGGCTAGAGTGCAGTGGCGCGATCTCGGCTCACTGCAAGCTCTGCTTCCAGAGTTCACGCCATTCTCCTGCCTCAGCCTCCTGAGTAGCTAGGACTACAGGCACCCACCACCTCGCCCGGCAATTTTTTTTTTTTTTTTTTTTTTTTTTTTTTTTGTATTTTTAGTACAGACGGTGGTTTCACTGTGTTAGCCAGGATGGCCTCGATCTCCTGACCTCGTGATCTTCCCGCCTCAGCCTCCCAAAGTGTTGGGATTACAGGCATGAGCCACTGCACCCGGCCTAGAGCAGTATTTCTGTATTGATGTTTTTTAGGAATTTAACATCCCCTTTCCAGTTTTCATTGTTAGCCTCAGAATACTTAGAAAGTTCCTTTCTAACCTGTACTCCCACTGTCTCCCAGGTGCCTGAGCCCTGGTGCTTGTGCAGGGCCCCCAATCCAGGCTCTGCCCCATCCCAATAGCCCTGTCCTGCCCTGAAACTGCCCTTGAGCTGGGCTTTTGTGTCTGTGGAGGCGGGGACTGTCATCCTCTCTGCCTCGTCTCTGTTAGACAGCACAATTCGATGTCAGCCCGCCACCTGACGTTGTGTATCTGTCATCCTCTCTGCCTCATCTCTGTCAGACGGCACTGATTCGATGTCAGCCCGCCACCTGACGTTGTGTATCTGTTTGCTTAACCAACCCTGGCATATGTGATCATTCTAGTCCCTTGACCTCCAAATTTTCATTCCTATGCGAAGACCTGGCATCGAGATTTGTGGTTGGAGAGGCAGGAGGCAGGCGTGTGTCCCCACAGTAGCCAGCTGTGAAGGATTTGGCCCTTTTGCCTCTGAGTATCCAGGGAATGGCCAGGGCTCCTGGGGAACTCAGCGACTGGACTTTCGGGCCCAGAACCCAGGAGGGCAGGCGTAGGGACGGGATGGCATCAGGGAGGTGGCAGTCGAAAGGACCCGAGTGGGCAGAGGAATGTGAATAGCCCCACCCCACGCACAAGCTCAGCAGCTCTGCGGGGCCACTGGTTTAGCGGCAGTTCTTGACATCAGCGTCAGCATCTGAGGTTGATAATTTTCTTAGGAGCTTGCTTGTGTTAATCCTACTAATAATTTACAAAATCCTAAGTCACTTGACTATTATGCCCATATTTTTGCCTTTTGCCATTTCTTCCTTTCCATCAGCTCCAGAGCCCCTTCCTGTCAGCTCCTCTGAGCCTTTTTGACAGGGCAGGCCGCTCCCCGCCCCTCCGCAAAGACTTTTTAATATTCTTTTATATGCTTTGACGTTTCTTGCCCACTGTATTCGAGGAGTTTCCCCATTTCCACCCGGAAGTCCGTCCTTGCTGATGTAACACCATGTCAGGTGTGGCTTGTTTTCCCGAGGAGCCTGGTGGCCACAGCCTCAGCTTCAGCCACTTCCTGGTTCTCGGTGGCCAGTCCCCACAGACTGTGAGACCTATGCTTGCTAATGTTAACTAAGAAGAGAATCTGAAAGTATTTACTTCAGAAACCTCCTTTTTGCTAGTTAGCGCCAGAGTGAGTAGATTAATCAGGGCAAAAGAGAATGAGAGGTGCTGTTAGTGTGTTACAGGGAAAAGTCACCCGAAGGCAGAATGATAGGATCGAATGGGGACATGCCCAGGATAGGCCCCAGTGGTGGGTACTGTGGTTTGCATGGAGGTAGCTGGAGGTCCGCTTAGAAATTCTGCATCAGCACTGGGTCTGGTTTTTGTTTTTTTGTTTTTGAGACGGTCTGGCTCGGTCGCCCAGGCTTAAGTGCAGTAGTGTGGTCTCAGCTCACCACAGTCTTGACTTCCTGGGCTCAAGCTATCCTCCCACTTCAGCCTTCTGAGTAGCCGGGACTACGGGCGCACACCCCCACACCTGTCTAACTTTTGTATGTTTTGTAGAGACAGGGTCTTCCTATGTTGCCCAGGCTGGTGTCAGACTCCTAGGCTCAAGAGACCCTCCTGCCAAGACCTCCCGAAGTGCTGGAATTGCAGGCATTAGCCACACAGCGCCTAGCCTGGTCTGTTTACAGAGTCAGCAAATTCTGGCCTTTAGGCTACCCAGCCTTGTTTGTACATGAAGTTTTATTGAAACATGGTCACGCCCACACGGTCAGAGTTGGGTTTCGTCCCCGTGGCCCGTAATGCCTAAAATAGTGACTCTGGCGCTTTAAGAAACAGTTTGGGAACTCCTGCCTGAAGGAGAATCGGAAACAGCACTGAAGATGTTACTGAGGTTTAAATGCGACCCAAACAGAAAGGGCTTCGGGGCGGTTGGTGTCCGTCTGATTAACCTGCTGTCTGCTGGTTACATGTGGATTAGAATCTTAAACTGTTACGCTTGGCAAGATGAATGACTACAACTTTTCATTATTATTTTTTGTAAATTATGCATTTTCACTTGTAGAAATCTCTTTCCTTGTGGAGACTCAATGGTTTGCATTATTGATGATCGAGAAGATGTCTGGAAGTTTGCCCCCAATCTGATAACTGTGAAGAAATATGTATACTTCCAGGGCACGGGTGATATGAATGCGCCCCCTGGGTCCCGAGAATCTCAGACGAGAAAGAAAGGTGGGTAACCTCCTTCCTGATTCTCTAGAAGAATTCACATTTGCTTATTGTTTAGCTCTTCTTATTTCTTATCTCTGTTTTGACTGCTATAAATTCAAGATACACTTTTTTTATTTGTGTTTCAGTAGAGATTATTGGATTTATTTATAGAGTACTGAAAAACAGGATATTAGGTTGTTTCAATTTGGGCTTTAAAAAAAATGGCCCTCACTTAAGCGTTTTCCCAGTTGAATAAAAACTAGAGGATGCTGTTTAACCTAACACATCCGAATAACTCCCTTCATCCCAGTTTTCCTTAAACACATCCCTGGGTATTGGGCCATAGTGTTCTGTAGAGAGAGTGAATGTGGGGGCGGTGGCTCTGCGGGGAATAACCGTTCCCCATGCGCAGTGGTCAGGCTGGGCGCTGGCTGGGGCCCCAGAGAGCAGCGTGGTTTAACTTGTCAGTCAGGCATGCAGCTGACGTCCACCCTACGAAAGTTAAGTGTTTTTTGATCTTTAGTTTTTTGAAAAATATTTTGAGGCACACGTTTATTGCTGTAGTCACTAAAATGGAACTTGGAGGTTAGGACCAGGGGAGGGTGAAACTAGGGGCATTCCTGTAGAAGGTAGAGACTTTCACCAGATGGGTGGGGTCAGCGTGGAGTTGCTGACTTCCTCCAGACCGTGGCTTGGGAAACCGTGGCCATGGTGGTGCCAGGTCATCCGGGGCTTACAGTCACGGTGGCGCCAGGTCTGCAGGGGCTTACGGCCACGGTGGCGCCAGGTCTGCAGGGGCTTACGGCCACGGTGGCGCCAGGTCTGCAGGGGCTTACGGCCACGGTGGCGCCAGGTCTGCAGGGGCTTACGGCCACGGTGGTGCCAGGTCTGCAGGGGCTTACGGCCACGGTGGCGCCAGGTCGTCAGGGGCTTACGGCCACGGTGGCGCCAGGTCTGCAGGGGCTTACGGTCACGGTGGCGCCAGGTCTGCAGCCCGGAAACCTCTAGTTGTCCTTACAGGTGGAGGATCCCTCCTCCCCCAAATCCAAAGCTTTTTGAGTGCCCACATGGTGCTTAAAGGAAATACTCATTAGGGTATTTTGGATTTTTTGGATTGGGGATGTTCAGCTGGTAAGTTTAACGCAAATACTCCAAACTCAGAAAAAAATTCAATATCCAAAACGTCCCTGGTCCCACGCACTTCAGGTAAGGGGTGCTCACCCTGTCCGGCCTCTTCACAGCAAGGTTGCCAAGGCCTGGTCTAGAGGGTGGTGGACTTCACAGCCATGGAGAAGGGTGCTGCTTTAACTTGGAACGTTATTTAATGTTTAATGCTAAATTGCGGTAACTTTTCCTTTTGCATGCATATTTAGTAAATCATTCTCGAGGCACTGAGGTCTCAGAGCCATCTCCGCCCGTGAGAGACCCTGAGGGGGTAACGCAGGCCCCTGGAGTGGAGCCCAGCAATGGCCTGGAGAAGCCTGCACGGGAGCTGAACGGCAGCGAGGCCGCCACCCCGCGGGACTCACCCCGCCCCGGGAAGCCAGACGAGAGGGACATCTGGCCCCCTGCCCAGGCCCCCACCAGCAGCCAAGAGCTGGCAGGCGCTCCTGAGCCCCAGGGATCCTGTGCGCAGGGTGGCCGGGTGGCACCGGGACAGCGGCCTGCCCAGGGTGCCACGGGCACTGACCTGGACTTTGACTTATCCAGCGACAGCGAGAGCAGCAGTGAGTCCGAGGGCACGAAGTCCTCCTCCTCCGCCTCTGATGGCGAAAGCGAGGGGAAAAGAGGCCGGCAGAAGCCGAAGGCTGCCCCAGAGGGAGCCGGGGCGCTGGCACAGGGCAGTTCCCTGGAGCCGGGGCGGCCTGCAGCACCGAGTCTCCCCGGAGAGGCCGAGCCTGGCGCGCATGCCCCGGACAAGGAGCCTGAGCTGGGTGGGCAGGAGGAGGGCGAGCGGGATGGCCTCTGCGGCCTGGGCAACGGCTGTGCCGACAGGAAGGAGGCGGAGACCGAGTCACAGAACAGCGAGCTGTCGGGGGTCACTGCGGGTGAGTCCCTGGACCAGAGCATGGAGGAGGAGGAGGAGGAGGACACGGATGAGGATGACCACCTCATCTACCTGGAGGAGATCCTGGTCCGTGTACACACTGACTACTATGCCAAGTATGACCGCTACCTCAACAAGGAGATCGAGGAGGCGCCGGACATCCGCAAGATCGTGCCGGAGCTCAAGAGCAAGGTGCTGGCAGACGTGGCCATAATTTTCAGTGGGCTACACCCGACAAACTTCCCGATAGAGAAGACGCGGGAGCATTACCACGCCACGGCGCTGGGAGCGAAGATCCTCACTCGGCTGGTGCTGAGCCCCGACGCCCCTGACAGGGCCACGCACCTGATCGCCGCGCGAGCTGGTGAGTGCTGCCTCCCTGTGCCCTGGGCATGGTCAGGCCCGCGGGCTCCTTGCAGGCACTCCTTAGAGTTGGCATTGCTGTTTATCTCACTTTCAATTTTCAGAAACATTTCCCAGAATCACCATCTTTTAAGAATAGATCATGACAGTGGGTGAAATTGGAGTTTGGGCACGTTCATGCTTTCAGACCGCAGTCATCGCACACACCATTCAGGGGTGGGAGTTACTCGTGTGTAGAAAGTTCAACCTTCTCCCTGGAGTAAGCCATGGCCGGGTTGGAAAACAGGGAATCAGCGATAGGGACGTAGTGGAGAAATTCGAGGCAGGAACAGGAGTTCGCAGGTAAAAGATTGACAAACCCTCTGAGTTAGAAAACTAAATGCAAGGTTTCAGCTGAAACGTGCACAGAAGGACACGTTGTGGCTGGGAGGGCGGAGGACAGGCCTGCTGTCTCCCGACGGTGAAACCTGTCCCGGACGGGGCAGGCTGCTCTGACATGTTGAAACTTCCGCCGAATAAAACAACCTTTCAGCAATAGGTGATTCTTGAAGGAAGACTTAACACCCCGGTGCTTAAAAAACCCAAATACCTCGTTATTCTAGTTATTCTGTGAAAATGCTCCCATAAGCACCTGGATTTTCCGCGAATGAAGATTGCGGTTTTTCTCCTCCAATCTGCTTCCTGTCCTGGCGGCGTTTCCTGAGAGGGCTTCTCAGTGCGTGGCCCCGCCTCCGGGGCTCAGGAAAGCCTTGTGGGGTGAGCTCATCCCTGTCCACGCACGCTCCCTGACAGCAGGTGTGGTCTTATTTGAGGCCACGGCTCTGGCACGTATCATGGGGCGTTGGACACGCATGTGCTCAGTAAAGCATTTGAATCAAGGGTAAATGGAAGGTTCCATCTCAGTGTGAAATAGCCAGGTGCTAGCTGCAGGGCAGAGGCGGGCTTTCCGTGGAGCCCAGCGAGACCCTTGATCCCAGGAGAAAGCCAAGCCCTGGCCTCCTGTGGGCAGTCAGACCCTTCTCTCCTGAGCGTGGAGCCGGGCCAGGCCGGGGTCCTCCTTGGCCCCTCAGGTGCCTGTCTGCCCTGCCGCGTGTCTGCCCAGCTCCTGACCCTTCTCTCCTGAGCATGGAGCTGGGCCAGGCCAGGGTCCTCCTTGGCCCCTCAGGTGCCCGCCTGCCCTGTCCTGTGAGTGCCCAAGCTCCTGGCCCTTCTCTCGCATTCCTTCCTTCCCCCTGAATTGTGCTCACGTTTCCTTTTTGCTTCTGTGTACGTGGCCTCACTGTTGAGAGGCTTTGCTGAACACATGCTAAGAGAGGTCCTCCTGCTGCTCAGGTCACCCGCTGTGCCCGGCTCCCCGTCTGAGATCCACCCCTTCCCACCATGGCTGCCTATCCCTGGCCTGGCAGATGGGAACCTGCAGTGGGCAGCCCTGGTGGGGTGCAGCCGGGTGAGGGCCCTGGTGGGGTGCAGCCGAGTGAGGGCCCTGAGCCCTAGTGGGGTACAGCTGGGTAAAGGCCCTGAGTCCTGGTGGGTACAGCCGGGTGAGGGCCCTGAGCCCTGGTGGGCTGCAGCCGAGTGAGGGCCCTGAGCCCTGGTGGGGTACAGCTGGGTGAAGGCCCTGAGTCCTGGTGGGTACTGCCAGGTGAGGGCCCTGGGCCCTGGTGGGGTGTAGCCGGGTGGGGGCCCTGGTGGGGTGCAGCCGAGTGAGGGCCCTGAGCCCTGGTGGGGTACAGCTGGGTGAAGGCCCTGAGTCCTGGAGAGGTGCAGCCGAGTGAGGGCCTTGGTGGGGTGCAGCCGGGTGAGGGCCCTGGTGGGGTACAGCTGGGTGAGGGCCCTGAGCCCTGCAGGGGTGCAGTCAGGTGAAGGCCCTGGTGGGATGCAGCCGAGTGAGGGCCCTGAGCCCTGGTGGGGTACAGCCAGGTGAGGGCCCTGGTGGGTGCAGCCGGATGTGGGCCCTGAGCCTCCAGTGCTGGCCGGAACAGCCTGACGCAGCCGGGTCTCCTGCAGGCACAGAGAAGGTGCTGCAGGCACAGGAGTGCGGACACCTGCACGTGGTCAACCCTGACTGGCTGTGGAGCTGCCTGGAGCGCTGGGACAAGGTGGAGGAGCAGCTCTTCCCGCTCAGGGACGATCACACCAAGGCACAGAGGTGGGTCCTCGCTGCACCCAGCAGGTCCGTGCCAGGCGTTCCCTTGCTGGACAGCTGTTGGTTCATGCACCTGGGCAGTGCCCCTCATCACCCGGACGCCCCGCTCATGGCCCTCGTTCTCTTCCTCCGACAGGGAGAACAGCCCTGCGGCCTTTCCCGACCGGGAGGGTGTGCCCCCCACCGCCTTGTTCCACCCGATGCCGGTTCTTCCCAAGGCCCAGCCTGGCCCCGAGGTTCGGATCTACGACTCCAACACGGGGAAGCTCATCAGGACGGGCGCCCGGGGGCCCCCAGCACCCTCCAGCTCCCTACCCATCCGCCAGGAGCCCTCTTCCTTCAGGTACGTGGCGGCCCAGCCACTGTCCCCAGCTAATGAGGGCTCTTCAAGCTTGCTGCTCCAGTCTGTTGGGGGGATGGCGTCAGTTGCCCGAAGTGAGGGCGGGTGGAGGCTGCAGACGGTGACTCCTGCTTCCACCTTGTGGGAGCGCCGCCCCCGCTTGCAGTCTTGGGTCCTTTTGTTTTTCTCTCCTGTCTTGGGTCCCAAAACTAAAACAAAACCCCGACCATCAGCTTCTCAGATGTTGTCCAGGCACCCGCATGTGCCCACCTGTGGCCGCCCCGCAGAGCACTCGGTCCTGGGAACACTCAGCAGAGAACGAGCAGAGCCGGGCTGGTTCTGAGCCCCCCTCCCCACTCGCCTCACCATCTGCTCTCCGCCGGCTCCACGTTTGCTGCTCTGCCAACCCCAGGCTGCCCTCTTCGTTTCCACACAGAGCAGATGCAGGGGTTGGTGGCAGTGGCGGCTGGTAAACAGCACTGTGAGGAAGGGAAACTTGATTGGACTGGAAGGCGTTGGTAGCCGGGATCTGTGCTGCCCTGGAGTGGGGAGATTGCAGGCCCTGAGGGATGCTTCCTGAGCATGTGGCCTCTGTGCCTGTTTGCCCGCGTGGACCCGAGATCAGCCCTCAGCCTAAGGTTGTGGCCCCTGGAGACCCCATGTAAATGGCTGTGGGACATTGTTGGAGATTTAAGTGAGGAGTCTTTGTTTGTACCGTGGTTGTTGCTTTGAAATTCAACCAAAAGTTCAACTCAATTAAACTTGACCCAGGCAAGGAGCACCCACCAAGACCTGGTGTGCGTTTGCCCCTGGAAGCCGTCTGACAGGTCACAACACCTCAGATCCTGTGACGGGTACAGAATGCAGGCTGCTAGAGGGAGACGGGTGCTCACGGTTAATGGGGAGATGGAGAGGTACGGCTTGATGTCCTTTTCGAGCCTTTGCAGGATCCAGCACTGTCCCTGCGTGGGGATGCTGAGGCCTGGAGTGCATGGCCCTCCCAAGTCAGGAGCAGGGGTGGCCAGGGCGTGGCCTTCGCACAGTGGGTGGCAGCTCCCGAACCTGGGTGGACAGGTGAGAAGGCCCCGCCAGGCACCGCGGCAAAGCCCAGCCGGCTTTCGGGAGAGGCCGCTCCCTCTGGAAACGCGCTCTAGTTCCTCCCCGGTTTTCTGTTTCATAGATTGTGTTTTGTCTTTTACGATTCTGGAGAGCAGCGTGTGCCCCTCTCGGCTGATTTCACGGCCCTTGAGGTCATGGTGGAGAGTGTTGCTAAGAGGAGGAGTCGGGTCGGGTGACTGGGATGTGGGCAGGTGCAGGGTGGCTGCGGGCAGCTGGGCCGGTGCGGGTGGCTTCCCGTGCGGCAGCCTGGCGACGCTCTGGGACCTAGGGGGTGGGGGGTTTGGGATGAATCTGAGGTCCTCCATTCTGATGACAGGGAAGAGGATCCCCAGCCACAGAGATGATGTCATCCCTGATGGATAGGAAGGTGTCCTCGTGATGATGTCACCTCCCGTTGTTAGGAAGGCATCCTGGTGATGTCACCTCCAGTTGTTAGGAAGGTGTCCTGGTGATGTCACTTCCCATTAGGAAGGCGTCCTGGTGATGATGTCACCTCCCATTAGGAAGGCGTCCTGGTGTTGATGTCACCTCCCATCATTAGGAAAGCGTCCTGGTGATGATGTCACCTCCCATTAGGAAGGCGTCCTGGTGATGATGTCACCTCCCATCGTGTCCTGGTGATGCTGTCACCTCCCATCATTAGGAAGGCATCCTGGTGATGATGTCACCTCCCATTGTGTCCTGGTGATGATGTCATCTCCTGCTGTTAGGAAGGCGTCCTGGTGATGCTGTCACCTCCCATTAGGAAGGTGTCCTGGTGATGATGTCACCTCCCATCGTGTCCTGGTGATGATGTCACCTCCCATCATTAGGAAGGCATCCTGGTGATGATGTCACCTCCCATTGTGTCCTGGTGACGATGTCATCTCCTGTCGTTAGGAAGGCGTCCTGGTGATGCTGTCACCTCCCATTAGGAAGGCGTCCTGGTGATGATGTCACCTCCCATCGTGTCCTGGTGATGATGTCACCTCCCATCATTAGGAAGGCATCCTGGTGATGATGTCACCTCCCACTGTGTCCTGGTGATGATGTCACCTGTTGTGTCCTGGTGACGATGTCATCTCCTGTCGTTAGGAAGGCGTCCTGGTGATGCTGTCACCTCCCATTGTGTCCTGGTGATGTCACCTCCCATCATTAGGAGGGCATCCTGGTGATGATGTCACCTCCTATTGTGTCCTGGTGATGCTGTCACCTCCCGTCATTAGGAGGGCGTCCTGGTGATGATGTCACCTCCTATTGTGTCCTGGTGATGCTGTCACCTCCCGTCATTAGGAAGGCGTCCTGGTGATGATGTCACCTCCCATCGTGTCCTGGTGATGCTGTCACCTCCTGTCATTAGGAGGGCGTCCTCGTGATGATGTCACCTCCCATCGTGTCCTAGTGATGATGTCACCACCCGTCATTAGCGCATTCTGGTGATGATGTCACCTCCCATCGTGTCCTGGTGATGTCACTTCCCATCGTGTTCTGGTGACGATGTCATCTCCTGTTAAGGCATCCTCGTGGTGATGTCGTTTCAGGTCTTTAGAAGGGCTTCCTGTTGCGGGCTGGTTGGGTTTTTAATACAAGGTGTCTTTCCAACACTGCTTCTCTAGCTCTTCGAGGCCAGCAGGTGCCTAAAGTTCAGTTTGTTTCTGACGCTGACGACCCACGGTTGTCATCAGGCCTTGAGTCTAGGGGCTCAGTCCCACCAGGCTGCCCTCATCTCGGACCCCCAGGCCACCTCACTGTCCAGCTTGGCCACAGTGTTGGGGGTCCCCACACACAGACTTGTGCAGTTTTGATAATCTGCTGAATCGGCTCACAAAATTCTGGAAAACGTTTCACTCAGCAATACCAGTTTATTTTAAAGGCTCAAGAACAGCCGAATGAGGGGGCGCCTGGGGCAGGGTCCAGAAGGGCCCTGAGCATGGCACGTGCCCTCTGGAAGCTCTCCGTCCTTTCATCTGTGGCGAAGGCATAGCTGATCCCACACGCTGCCCACTTGCTCCTGCGAAGCCTCCTACCCTGGAGCCGCTCAGGCCCAGCCCACAGCCACTCTCACCACTGCGGTGATCCCAGGGACTGGGAACAGGTCTCTTTCTGTAACACCAGGGCTTAGTGCTTTGGTGCTACTCTTACTTCTTTATTTGACTTAATTAATTCCAACTCTCCAGCCAGTTGACAAAGCTCCTGGACACTTCTGAGAACAGCAGGGCGGAACCTGGCCTATGGGATTGCTGTGGGCCAGTCAGTGAACGGGCCAGCACCACCTAGAGCAGAAGGATGTGGAGACCCCCCGTCTAGGAAGTCAGGGTCTGTTCTGTACTGTCATTCTAATCAGTAGAAGCACGATGGCAGGACAGATACGTGCACTGAAGTGATACTGCTGAGATTTGGTTTCGAAATTATGTGATAATTTAAAGCAGCCACACGATCAGTACTGCGAACAGCACCTGTTCTTTAGACGCTGCTTTTCATACTGTTGAATAAAATATCCAGGGGGGTGGCTCGCACTGTAGTCCCAGTGCTTTGGGAGGTGGACCCGCAAGGATCTCTCGAGCTCAGGAGTTCAAGGCTGCAGTGAGCTGTGATCGCACCCCTGCGCTTCATCCTGGGCCACAGGGTGAGAGCCTGTCTCAAAAAAAAATTTTTCTTAATAATTTAAAATAAAATCACAAACCTTTGACTTATTTTTTCTTCAGTATTTTTATTTATTTTTTTTTTTTTGAGACGGAATCTTGCTCCATCGTCCAGGCTGGAGTGCAGTGGTGCAATCTTGGCTCACTGCAACCTCCGCCTCCCAGGTTCAAGCAATTCTCATGCCTCAGCCTCTTGAGCAGCTGGAATTACAGGCACGTGCCACCACGCCTGGCTAATCTGTGTATTTTTAGCAGAGATGGGGTTTCATCATGTTGCTGAGGTTGGTCTCAAGCTCCTGTCCTCATTGTCTTAAACTACATAAAGTGGTTAAAGATTAGATACAAAACTGGTGTTTTAATAATTCAGCCTTGCTTGAAGTGAGCTAGGAATTTCTAAGATCAATGAGAAAAAAATAATTGTTATCTGAAAACAGACTTGCAGATGGTAAGCTGGATTTGAATGAAGTCAAACACTTTTACTTGAATGACACTAATAACATGGCAGCCGATAACTGTGTATGTGTGTTCTGAAATGTGTATAATTTACGTGAACAGCAGCAGTTCAGTTTCGAATGGCACGTCATAAACAACTGTTTAGCTGTGCCTTCCGTGAGGAAGATGCACGCTGGGCTGTAGTTCATTTGAATAAGTCGACTTTTGATGAAATTTTCTTCTGTTTTTAATGTGAAAGTGTAATTTGCACCAAAATATCAATATTACTTCAGTTAATACCAGCTCATTTATACGAAAGGATGTTAATGTGATTTGTTAGGTTGCGATAATCGTCAGTTTGGTGGCGGGAAGCAGCGTTGTTGTGGCTGCAGCAGCGGGCCCCCTGGTCTGGGTGATTGCAGGCTGGATGCATCTTTGTCACGTTAAGGAAATGTCTCTCCCTTCACTTGTACGTGTTGGAAACTGAGTTCTCCTAAAATGAGCCTGGGTTCTGCTTTTTGATAGTTTTCAAAATTGATGAAACGACCTACTTACATCAGAAAAAAGGAATCCCTGTTTGAATGTCTCCCTCCCCAGGCTAGACATAGTGCTGGAAGTCTGAGGAAACGGGACCAGCCGGCAGGAGTTCTGCGGGGCCTTCGTGCTGCGGTGAGGACCTGGGCCTGTGTGGATTGGCCACGCCTCTGGTCCCACCCTCCCTTTTCTCCGTAGGCCTCCATCTTGGAGGAACAGTAGAGTGTTTTCTTCTGGTTTAATCCAAGAGTCCCCCCTGCTTGTCTGAGTTCATGTGGCGCCTGCCCAGTTCCCTGCACTAAATAGACCTGTGTCCGCAATGCCACTCCACGTGTGGACCCCTAGTGCCTGCAGGACCACTCCACCTGTATAAACGGGTCCAGCGTGGTCTCCTGCAGCCACCCTCACACGCTTGCAACAGCACTGGTGCCCTGCAGCCCAGTTCCCCCATGGCACTCCTGTCTCACGGAGGGTCCCACACCTGAGCAGCCCCAGGCCTCATCTGTCACGGGCATTGGTTGCCCGATTCCCCCATGGCATCCCGTCTCACAGTGGGTCCCGTGCCTGAGTGGCCCCAGGCCTCATATGTTGTGTGCATTGGTTGTGCTGCTGTGGAGGTGGCCCCGTCTCCCCACCCTCCTGAGAGTGGTGGTTCCTCATTCTGTTCTCGGAACCCCGTGCAGACCCCATTGTGACAGGACGCTTGGCAGTGAGGGCAGTTGGCCCTTCGTCCCTGGACTGGTCCTCATCTAAGTCTTTGAACGTTGTACGTTTTTTCTAATTCTGGCTTTGACCTTTTTGGTGCTGGGCTGGCAGGCTGGCTCACTGGGGACCTGGGGGTGAGTGGGAACATTCAGTTTTTTGGTTAGACTTTTTGAGATATTTGTAGATATATATGCAGTGATAATGCAGAGAGGCCCTTTGGACCCTTTATCCTGTTTCCCCTGTGGTTGCCTCTTGTGAAAGTGGGGAACAGGCTCACCACTAGGACCCACACAGACTCATCCAGACACAGAACCCTCACACCAGCTCCCCTGCGGCCCTTCATGGCCTCAGCCGCTTCCCCTTCCCTGACCCTTGGCCCTCCACCTGCTGTCCCTCCCTGCACCGCGCCCTCTCCGGAGTGCTGTGTACGGCAAGTCGGCAACCTTCTGGAGTTGGCCCTCCTCCCTCAGCCAGTTCCTGGAGCACCTCCGTGCCCCTCATTCATGTCCTTCTCTTGCGGAGCCGGGTCTCATGGTGTGTGGTGGAGCCAACTGTGGTTTCACCGTTCACCCTTTGAGGGATATTTGGGTTGTTTCCAGCCTTTGCTCTAAATGTTTGCACAGGTTGAGCCTCTCATCCGAAAATCCAAAATTGGGAATGCTCCAAGGTTCGCATCTTTCTGAGCACGAAGATTCGCACCTTTCTGAGCACTGACGTGGCCCTGGAAGGAAGTGCTCATCAGAGCATTCGGATTTGGGGTCACCGGTTGCAGATGCTCAGCCCGTAAGTGTAACACAGATATTTCAAAATTCAAAAATCCAAAATCGGAAACACTTTTGGTCTCAAGCATGTTGGATATGGGATGCTTAACCTATCTAAGTTTTTATTTCTTTGGGATAAATGTCCAGTGGTAGATACAGTTGCTAAATTGGATGGTGAGTGTGTGTTTAGCTTTTTAAAGAAACTGCCAGACCTTTTTCTGGAATACCTGCATCATCATTTCATGTTTTCAGCAGCGGTGAGTGACCCAGGTGGCGTGGCCAGTGCTGTTTATTGCAGCCATTCTGATAGGTGTGTCCTGAGCTGGTTGTGGCTGTAACCTGCATTTCCGTGGTGAATAATTACCCATCACTCCTGTGTTTGTTCCATCTGCTAGTCCTTGGTTGGATGTGTGGCTTACAAATCCTTTCCTCCCAGTCAGCAACTTGAGTTTTCATCCTCTAGAGGGTCTTTGGCAGAGCAAAAGTTATTAATTTTCACGAGATTCTATTTATCACTTCTTTCTTTTAGGAATCGTGCTTTTGCTGTGAAGTTAACTAGTAGCCCAGTCCCAGATCCCAGAGATTTTCTTGATGTTTTATCCTAAAAGTTCTATAGTCTTTCATGCGACACCTCAGCCCCAGATGCTCTTGAGGGTGGTTTTCTGGCCCCAGCCGCATTGTCGCCGGCGCCGTCCTCCCTCCATGGCTGCTTCTGCCGCAGCGTCTCGAGGGCACTCAGGTGCACCTGTGTGGTCTGTTTCTGGGTTTTCTGCCCGTAGATGCCCTTGATCAAGTTGGATTTCCTGTTTTCTGTGTGTTGTTATCACCAGTGGGTGTTGAATTTTTTAGGAGTTTGTTGATTGATATGATGGTGTGTGTGGTTTTTCTTCTTTTGCCTGTCAGTATGTGGTGGTCACATTGACTGATTTTTGGACATGAAAACAACCTTGCACCCCAGAAACAATTCCCGTTGGTTGTGGTGTATAGTAACCTTGATGCGCTTCTGTGAAGTGTCTTTATGTTGACGTTGAGGGGCCTGTGGGGCTGCACTTGTCACGTTGTGTGCCGTCTGCCCCCAGGTTTGCTGTGGCTCCCGTGATGAGGTGGGAAGCGCCCCACCCTCCAGCATCACTGGTGAGACTGCGGACTTGCCCCTTCCTTTCACATATTCGGGAGAATTC